>NW_013171808.1:0-181958 GCF_000001405.40 Homo sapiens | reverse complement strand
GAATTCCACAGCTGCAGCACATCTGATGATTTAAAAAAAAATCACCAACCACCACACACATAGCAGGTATAGTCATAATCCTAAAAACACCCTCAGGTAAAAGAAATGTAAAAAGTAAACTCTTTTTAAAATTCCTTACATTTTTGACCCTTGTTCATCTCATGCATTTTTTTCTTTTCCCAGGATTGAACAATGTATACTTCTTATTTACTTCTTCTTACAAATGAGTCAAAAAAACCCAACACATCAGGACACTTTAGTAGTCAAAAAGATTATGTCCACTCCACTACACTGAATTCAGAAAAATTAAAGTTCTGTTTTCCCAACCACTTGTATAGAATGCTGTCTGAGGCTGGCAAAACACAAAAGAAAAATAAATCTACAAGTTCACTTCTAGGAACAACAAGAAACAACTCTAAGTTGTAAGCACTACCCTGCAATCATGCTGGCTTCTAACTGTGAAATATGGTCATTATCTTATGGAACTGATCTAATTTTGTGCTCAATGCCCTAAAATAAAGGGTTTCTTTTGAATACCAAATACAAGGACTGGGACCAAAAAAATGATAATAATTTGACAGCACTTTAAAACACAGCTTTTTTTCCTCCTCCTGTCACATTAAATAGCACCAACTGACAAGTGCTCTACAGGATGAATGAATGAAAGATTATGCATTTGCTGAGCTGAGGAAATTCCACAGATAAACTGTAGTGGAGGGCTGATATTAGCTCATTAGAAGGCTTAATACACAGGGCACAAGCAGCGTATTTAACGAAAATTTACAAATGTATTGAAATGCAGCTGGAACGACACAGGATGACATCTTTTTTCTCAAGTACAAAGGGAGAAAAATATGCTTATCTCTTTAAAAGTGTTGCTGTTCAGGCTCTACTCGTGTGTTTATATACACACATACACACACACACACACGACACACACACACACACGAAAGCTTCATTGATTCAGGTTAACAAAGAAAGCAAATATACTGTGGTGACATTTATTAACATCTGTGCTAAAATCATGAATAAGAATTATATATAACACTTGGCTAGAGGAACTTAATTTTAAATATCACGAGAAGAAAGCCCAGAGAAGATGTATAGTCTTTCCTCATGAGACTTATTTGCAGCAGAAGAAATAAAAACAACACTTCTATACGTAATGTTTAATTCATTAATAGTTGACAGGATTATTAAAGAAAAATATTTAAATATGGACATAATTTTAAAACGAACTTTTGCCGAAAATTATTCCATTTTATTTTCTCATCAAAGCAAGCCCTTCACCTAATCCTATAATTTGAAAGAACAGAATCAAGGTCACTCTCTCATTTACTCAAATCATTAAAAATGCCTTCCTTTGCATCGCTATGCCGTAATTTCCATAGGAGTTCATATGCTTTCTAATCCTCTC
Source organism: Homo sapiens (assembly GCF_000001405.40). Classification (NCBI taxonomy): domain Eukaryota; kingdom Metazoa; phylum Chordata; class Mammalia; order Primates; family Hominidae; genus Homo; species Homo sapiens. The sequence goes on along the minus strand of NW_013171808.1, from coordinate 180,541 downwards.
ATTTTCTCAACATCACCACTTATTCACATAGGCACATGTTCCATATTTGATCCATGCTTCTGAAGATTTTTCTGCTCTCCCAGAATATGATCCACTTATCACTAAGAGGAGTCCCAACATCAGAAATGTCCTTGCAAACCTGGAACCCAGCCTGAACAGGCAAAGAAGGACAAAATCCCAGTGAGGGCTGGCATTTGGTGAGTGTTCACTCTGTGCCCTGCCTTAAGTGAGGTGTTTCATACACTTATTTAATTCAGTGTCATCTTCCAACCCAGGCTGTGATTACTGCTCCCATGCTTCAGGTGGGGGAACTAAGGCTCGGAGAGCCTAAGCAACAGGCCAGAGTCAAGAAGCTGAGTTGAGAAAGAACTGGAGTTCAAACACGAAGCTATCCCCCTGCTATGGACCAAATGATACCCTCCCTACACCCCTGCCAAACTCATATGTTGAAGCCCTAACCCCACTTTGTGGCTACATTTGGAATTATGAGGAGGTAGTTAAGGTTACATGAGGTCATAAGAGTGGGGTCTTGGTCTGATAGGATTAGTGTCCTTAGGAAAAGAGACACCTCAGATCTCTCATGCTGGTCTTCGCATGTGATCAGTGGAAAGGCCACATGAGGACAAAGCAGCCATCTAGCAGCCAGAAGGAGAGCCCTCACCAGAAACTGAACACTGCTGGAATCTTTATCTTGAACTCTCCAGCCTCTAGAATGATGAGAAAATAAAGGTTTGTTGTTTAAGCCACCCATTCTGTGGTATTCTGTTACAGCAGCCCAGCTGACTGACACACCCATTTTAAAGCTCTTTGCCACCACTTTGCCTCATGGGCTGGGAAGTTTCATTCCCCATCAATTTCTGCAGCAAAAGCTTCCTTTTGATCCTCCTCGTCTTTTATTGTCTCCTTATTAGTGACATCCATATGAATGAAATGTATGATGCTGCAGGAGGCTCATCATAATTTAACAGGAATTAATGTCCTCTTATTATAAAGGACCCTACAAGCCGCTGCTTAATAGTCAGCAACAACTGGAATTAATACGTGTCAGATGAACATCAAGAAAAATCCATTTATGACCCCAAAGTCATGAAATTTAGCATAATTACACATGCTCTTGTTTGGGTAATTTTTTCTCTCCTCATTAAATTAGGTGCCTACATTAGATTTCAGTCTGATCGGTCTTGACTAGTTACATTTATGTAATCAAGGGCATTTCCTCTCAAATCAACCCAAAGTTACACAGGCAAACTACAGTAAATGCATGAACTGAAGCAAAGGTACAAGTGCTGAAAAGCTTAGAAAATTCATTCTTAATATTTATTCATGTTACCCCTCAACAAATATTTATAGAACACTTACTATGTTGTAGTCAGTGTTGTCGGTGTTTAAGAGATGTATGAAGTGAAAAGGCATAATTCTAAGAATCTCTTCAAGAACTGTGCTTGCCTTCCCCCTCACTACTGCAGCTCCAGTCTTTAGCATACCGGAGCCTCCATCACAATGGGGAATAAAAAAAACTCATTCTCTCGAAAATATCCCGTAACTGTTCAAAGTCAATCTCCATCTCCCTGGCTTTCTCTTGTTAACATAGTTTGCCCCCACTACCCTCTTGTAGTACCTCCTTAAAGAATTTTCCTATCTAATAAAATCACCTGGCTTTAAGCCTAAGCAGAGATAGTACAAGGTTGGTATCTGGCAGCTAGAACAATTGAGTTTCACCTTAAAACAAGTTTAGCCTCTCATAGCCCCTTTCTGTTGTGGTCTTTATGGGTCAACCCTTCTAAGATATTAAGAAGAAAACCTTAAAAGGCACTGACTTGACAGTATCATGATAAAAACAGAGTCCCCTTCATGCTCTGTAGAGTGGATTCCTCATCTGGCCAGGAAGAGGGTAGAAACCTGGATCTGTCTAGTGTTTGCCTGCTAGGATGCCTTTATCTGATCCACCTTGGGAGATTTCAGTCACCTGGGTTTCAGAGATACCTGCAATCTGGACATTGGGTAACTAGTATGATTTGCTGTTACTGGTTCCTGGAAAGGAGTTGAAATCTAAATGTTCCTCCAGGCCAAGTGCACACAGAGCACCTCACTGGAAGAATCTGAGTCACCTCATCCTTCTGAAACAATTCTGGAAGTCTACCACCATCTGCACAGCTTTCGTGGCAGCAAATTAATCCAGGTGACGAAGCAAAGATATCAGATTAGTTCAGGGAGAGGAGAACACCTTGGTTCCCTTGGTTACTCCAGTTTAGGAGGCACTAAGGCATTTATTTAAGAAAGGAACACTTACTTATAAAGGAATTTTTAAGGACTCTTTATGTGCTAAAAATACAATCAGAGAGGAAGTGTATAAACTGCTACTAAAATACAGTTTTATCAGAGCCTGGGGTAACACAAGGAATCAGAAATAAAGTATATCTAGTTCTCTAATAACCCCTAAAATAGCTTATTTCCCAGAGAGCAAGACAATCTCCATAGGAATGTTAAGACAATGTGATAGAAAGTATGGCTCAAATGGTAAAAGAGTCTCTTTTTAAAAATTCTGCTGCTGCCAGATTAAAAAACAAAAACTGAACTCATAGTGGAAACTAGGAAGGATATATAAGGAACACTGTATCAATCAAAACAAAAACTGAACTCATAGTGGAAACTAGGAAGGATATATAAGGAACACTGTATCAATCAAGCACACGTACTTATGAACCAAGGAATGAAGATTTTTCTCAGCTTTTACAATAACAAGACACATTTCAAATTTCAAGAATATGTCTTGAAATATTCACAGTTTCAAAATGTTCACAGTTTTAACTAGGAAGTTGGGGGAAAGCTCAAAACAAAACAATTTTGCTAAAGAAAGCAGAATTTCACTGCTCACTGAAAATTTTAAATTTCTACAAATTGCCTAAGGACACAAAATTTCTAGCCATTCTCATTCCCTAACTTCTTATTGCCTCCTTTCCAAATACATATTTTTCTAAAAGTCCTCCAAATGTTGAATGAATCTTTTATTGTTGTTGTTCTTGTGAGACGGGGTCTTGCTTCTGTCACCCAGGCTAGAGTGCAGTGGTGTAATCACAGCTCACTGCAGCTTCAAGCTCCTAGTCCCAAGTGACCCTCCCACTTCAGCCTCCTGAGTAGCTGGGACCACAAGCACATGCCATCATGTCCAGCTAATTTATTTTGTAGAGATGGGGTCTTGTTATGTTGCCCAGGCTGGTCTCAAACTCTTGGGCTCAAGTGATCCTACCGCCTTGGCCTCCCCACGTGCTGGGATTACAGGCATGAATCTTAATGTATAAACTGGAGCCTTGTTTGAATGCCATCCTTAGAAGCCACTGGAAAGATTATTAAATGAGATCATATTACAGCAAGTTCTTGCTGAATAATAAACCTCTTTGGAGAAGGGCTTGAGAAAGGTTGTGCCACAATGAATTTCATATTGCAGCAGATGCTGTTGTAAGGATGCTCCCAGGTGCACCCTCCATGATGCCTGTGATCCTCTAGAGCACCATGAGAAGGCACTGGAAAAGTATCCTCCATGATCAGAGTGAAGCAACCTCCATGCCCCAAAGTGAAACATCTGTCAAACAGGAGAGATCTGCTTGGGAGAAAATGGTCATGAGGAAGAACACAGGATAGGGTGGTATATTAATCAGTGTTATTCAGAAAAAAATGAACCAACTGGGTTCATACAGAAAGAGATTTATTATGAGGAGTTGGCTTGCATGATTATGGGGGCTGAGAAGTCTCATGATGTTCTGTCTGCAAGCTGGAGGCCCAGGAAAGTCGGTGGTATAATTCCATACCAAACCCAAAGGTCTGCAAACGAGGGAAGCCAATGGTATAAGTTACCATCTGAGTCTGAAGGCCCAAGAACCGGGAGCATCTGTGTTTAAGGGTAGGAGAAGATAGATGTCCCAGCTCAGGCAAAGAGAGTGAATGGCCCTTCTTCTGCCTTTTTGTTCTACATGAGCTCTCAATGGATTGGGTTGAGTGATACTCACCCACAATGGTGAGGGCATTCTTTACTGAGTCTACTGAATCAAATGCTATTCAGAAGCATCCTCACAAACAAATGTAGAAATGTTTTACCAGCTATCTGGGCATCCTTTGGCCCAAGCAAGTGGACACATAAAATTAGCCATCATGGGAAGTAAGAGGTACCTGGGGAAATTGCCAGTAGGTCAGTTTCATCCACCTGCCATATTGTACCATGGTGACATGGTCTTCAAACAATGGAGTTAGGCTGTGACCAAAGACAAGCAGAAGACCTCAAAGGTCAAATGAACACTCACTGAGAAATAATGTTGAGAATTTGACAAAGGTGGATTAGCTACTAGGTTATCCAGGGTAGTTTACTTGGGATTCCATTCTCCCAGTTCTTTTTATTTTCTTCTTCCTACCTGACAGAATTAATCACTCCTTCTTCTGGCTATCCTGTACCCAGCATACATTCCACTAGTACAGCACTTGTCACAGTGTGTTTTAGCCATCAACACATCTGTCTTTCTAGAAGTAAAGCTCCTTGGAAGCAGGAATAATGTCTTTTTTAATATTTGTACTCTCTGTGGTAGTGTAGGGACTGACATATACAGATCCTTGATATTTGTTGAATGGAGGAACTAATGAATGAGTTTATGGATGAAAGTTCCAAAACCTGTAGTTGTTTTTCTCTTCAGGGTAGGATATACAACTTTTCCCTCCCTCCCTCCTTTCTTTCTCTTTCTCTCCCTTTTTTTTCTTGACGGACTCTTGTTCTGTGGCCCAGGCTGGAGTGCAGTGGCACAATCTTGGCTCATGCAACCTCCGCCTCCCAGGTTCAAGCAATTATCCTTCCTCAGCATCCCAAGTAGCTGGGACCACAGGCACCCACCACCATGTCCAGCTAATATTTTGTATTTTTCATAGAGACGGGGTTTCACCATGTTAGCCAGGATGGTCTCCATCTCCTGACCTCGTGATCCTCCCACCTTGTCCTCCCAAAGTGTTTGGATTACAGGTGCGAACCACTGCACCCGGCCCCCATACTTGTTTTGTAACACTCCATAATATAAACTTTTCTCTGCTGATGGAGCAAATGAGCCAGTGCATTGTCCTACACATTCCCCCGCCCTGGGCCTTTAGTAGTGCAGTTGTCCTGGCCTAGAACACCCCTGGAAATAAGCTCCACCTCTGTAAATAGCAACCACAAATTTTAAGGCCTACCTCAAATCTAACTCTTTTATATCTTCCTATATTGTACCTCCAGCTCTCATCTCTAAACTCCTATCACATTTACATTTTGCAATATCCACCTGGCACTTAATCACATACTGCAATGAATTTTATTTAACTCACTGTTTCTGGGAGCCTTCTCAATGTTACAAAGAACATTCCTTTTTAGGGAAAAATAAGCAAATAAGACTGGCTCAGGGAAACACAGCAAGTAAGTGAAAAATCCTTGAATTAAACAATTTAAGAAGACATTGAGTGTGGGAACTTAGAAGAGTGGGTAAAGTAAAAAGAAGAAAGAAAACCTCAAATACAAAATCAATGTAAACAGACATCTTGCTCAGGTACCACAGACTTTTTCTTCTTGTTGACATTACATCTACTTGTCCCCCCATATCCATCTTCATTTTTCTTTCTTTGGAGACAGAATGGTGGAGAGGAGCTCAAGCTCTGCGTATGTAAGCTGAGGCCATGGTACTACCAAGTTTGCAAGTAAACTTGTCTGTAAGACTGATGGGCCTGCTATCTTGTTAGTGAAGGAGGCATGGTTGGGTGGAGGTGGAAAGGGAGAGTGGACAAGTTTTGATTTCTAATTCCACTTCTTTATGTCCCTTGCCCCCACCTTCCTTTAAGGTTTTTTCTCTTTGCCTTTGGTTTTCTGCAGTTTTAAATATGACATGTCTAGCTATGGGGTTTTTGGTGCTGGCCTTTTTTTTTTTTGGTTTTTGATACTTATTCTGCTTGGTGTTCCCTGAGCTTCTTGGACTTATGGTTTTGTGTCTATTATTAATGTTGGAAAGTTCTTTTTCTTTTCTTTCTTTCTTTTTTTTTTTGAGAGGGGGTCTCACTCTGTCACCTATGCTGGAGCGCTGTGGTGTGATCTCAGCTATCTGCCATCTCAACCTCCCAGGTCAAGTGATCCTCCCACCTCAGCCTCTCAAGTAGCTGGGACTACAGGCACGCATCATCATGTCCAGCTAATTTTTTTGTATTTTTTTGTGGAGACAGGGTTTCACCATGTTTCCTAGGCTGGTCTGGAACTCCTGAGATCAAAAGATCTGCCTGCCTCAGCCTCCCAAAGTGTTGGGATCACAGGTGTGAGCCACTGCACCCAGACCGAGAATTCTTGAGTAATATTACTCTAATTATTTTCTCCCCTAGGACAGAAAATAAACAAAGACTCACCCTGAAAACATTATCCGTCATTTATGCTTTCCCACAGCTCTTGAATTTTCTGTCTCTTTTTTCCCCATCCTTTCTTGGTTTACATTTCAGTTTTGGAAGGTTTATTAACTTATCTTCAAGTTCATCAATATTTTTTCCCGTGGTTGTGTTATCTACCTATGAACTTGTTGAAAACATTCTTTATTTCCATTATTGTGGGTTTTAATTTTTAATTTCATTTACTTTTATTCTTTTTTAGTTTTAATATCTCAGCTTACATTACCTATATAGGCTTGCATGTTGTATACTTTTTCCATTAGAACCTTTAACAAATTAAACATAATTATTTTAAATTACTTGATAATTGCAAAATCTGTGTCATATCTGAGTATGGTTCTGAAGCTTGCTTTATGTCTTTGGATGTTTTTTGTTTCTTTGCCTTTTGGCATGCCTTGTAAATTTTTGTTGAAAGCCAGACATGTTCTATAGGATAATAGGCACTGAAGTAAATAGGCCATTGGTGTGAGAATTTCTATTAATCTGAGATGAGCTGTGTTTAATGTTTATTGTAGCTACTGGTGCCAAAGTCTTCAAATTCCTATAGCAGGCTTCTTTGTTCCTCTCCTCCTAGCTTTGGGGCTTACCTTTGTACTGATTCTCACAGAGAGTCTGTTCCTTGCAGCTTTTCAGCTGGGCTCCCCTATTATTATTACTGGAGCCTTGTCATTGTGGTGGAGTGTAGGGGAGGATGGTGTTGCAAGTCTTCTTAATTAAGCCTCAGTCTTTCAGTGAGGCTGTGTTTCAAGGGTGTGAATTTCAGATGTGTTTCTGTCCCTCTTCACAGGTAGAGCTTTATTTCTGCCCAACCTTCAGCTCTAGTCCCTTTCCTGGTTATTACCTTGAAGCTCCCCTGTTGACTATGGTTTTTATTTCTTTGGACCAAATTCTCGTCTCCCAGCTGGGATAAGTTTTCAGAATTGCCCTGTGGGGAAGTCTTTCCTCCTAGAGATGAGGTCTTTGTTAGAGAGAAGAGTCAGGAAGGGTTTCACGAAGGCTACTCCCCTTCAAGCCCCTATCCCAGAGCCATGAGGGTCCTCTTACTGAGCACCTGGTAGAGTTCCAGGGGGAAAAGCCTGTGAAAGTGTGAAGATCCCCTTAGACAGCAACTCCCAGGAGCTTATTAATCTCCCACTAGCCTGCACTCAGTTTCCAGCAATTCATCAAAATAACTAGTAAAGTATCCCCGCCAGCTTATGGCATCTGGTGGTTTCTGCTCCAGGTAACCAAATCTCAAGAAAAGTAAATTTCTAGTTAGTTCATTTTTCTCTTGTTGTAAGAATGGCAATAAGGACTTCCAAACTCTATATATGTCACGGTTGAAACAAGGTGTCTCCTTCTTTATGGTTTTAATCTTTTCAGATTTTCTATTTGTTCTTAGGTCAAGTTTAATAATCTATATTTGTTCCAGGATTTTTCCATTTCATTTAGGTTTTGTAAATTACCAGCAGATTGTTTTTATGGTATTCTCTTAGTGAGTATCTGTACATACTTATATAAATCTTTTAATTATGAAATTATATACTCTTTTGAATATTATTGATCTGTGCTTCCTCTCATTTGCTGTTCATATCAACTTACTTCATAACTTTATTATGTATTATATTTAATTTTGATATTTATCTCCCTTCTATTTAGGTGGCTTACCCTGTTGTTACTTATCTAGTATTTAAATGTCCAAGTGTCTGTTTCTTTGGAGAAAAAACTTTATAGAAAGTACCTCCTTCATAGCGCTGTTTATAAGAAAATGCGCATCTGACAGGAAGTAAGTAATGCACAAATATGCAATGATATGACCTTTTATTGCCAAACTACAGTACTTTTAACTTCAGAAATCTTTGTCTTTATTTTGGTTTCTTTCATAATTTGGTCCATTTACAATACTCGCCATTTCTCATTAACCTTATCTTCTGAATATTAGGTCTATTTTTTGAGGACTGTGATCTGCAGAGAAAACACTTAGAAGGACACAATCAAAGTCAAAAGCCTATACATTTTGTGGATAAGTGATCCAAACCTAAGACAGTTACAAAGAAAATGGCTCTCAGCTATTTACAGCCAGACTTCAGGCCTTCTGTGGATTTCTTTGGCATTACCTCACTAAGTTAATATATCATCACTTGACATTTAATAATAAATACCTGATGAAATTATGCATATGTCTTTTTAAAAGTTCAGCTTCAACTCATTTTGCTAGATAAAAATACTAACACAGGCAAAAAGTCACCCACGTTAATAGAGAAAGCTACTCCACTGCGAAGTGTATTTTCCCTTCCTGACAATCTCAGAGGTGTTGGGCAAGAGCCAAGGAAAGCCAATAGTCTGTGCCTCAATAAGAATATATACATCCCAAGCCCACACCAACAGACTCTTGAAGTATAGCAGGCAGGAAGAAAAACACTTAGTGAACAACTCAACTCTGTCTGTATTGCACCTCCTGTTGGCCAGATCTGCCTTTTGATCACATACCCTGGATCCCTGGTGAATACACGGATATTAGTGCTACAGAAGGTTTACACAAGGGTCTCCTAAAACATCTAGGCTGTCTGTGGCTGACAACTGATTTGCGTAAGTGGTTGTTAAAAGGTAAAAGCTCCCTTAATCCACTGCCACTTAAGGGGCTCACCAAATCAACCATTGCTCTCCATTTCCTCTGTAAAATACGAACCCATGCCCATAGCTGGAATAAAGGGTCATGGAAAATAGGCATTTCTGTAGGATATTTCCTCTTCTGCTCCCACCAACCAAGTTGTGGGCGTGTCAAGAATCAACTGAGTTTGTTCCCCAAACTAGTTTTACTAGTTTGCCAGTTTTGTTAACAACATTTTATAATTTAATTAAATATTTCATATGAGTGTGCACAGAAAGAAAATTAAATGAGAATCAATTTTTTAAAAATCACCCATCAAATTAGATGTGGACAAAAGAATCTTAAAATTTTACAGGAATATCATTAACTATTTCCTCTACTGGTAAAGGAATCTCTAGTCCGAATTCTATCCTCAGGTTATTTTGTGTTTTGAAATTTTCACTCCATTATAAAGAAACTCCAGAGGAAATGGTCAGTAGATGATATGGGCTTTATGCAAGAAACATGATGTCTGATATCAATCACAGGACTCTTAACAAAACCACAAAACTCTTAGTCTTACATTAAAAGGCTGGAGAACTCATAAACTATTTACATCTTAATATGTGTATATATGTGTATGTAATTGCTAATAATCCCACACTTTCACTGAATTATTTGGTTAACAAACAACTCAAGGTCCTGATCATATCAGATATAAAGGATTCTATATAGTTTCATTGAACAGATTAATGCTCCTGATTTCCTGCTCATTTTTACTTGTCTTTACTGTATTTACCTTACCAAGTACTTTCTCTTATTTCTCCTTCATTCTCACTACAATCCTCTGAAGTAAGATTGTGTTTATTATGTGAAGAAACTGAAAATCAGAGAAGCCAGGATTCAGACTCAGAACACTGTCCCAAACAGTATTTTCAAATCAATGTGAAATCAAGTTAGTGAAAAGCAACAAACATGTCTAAACAAAATAATGGAATGGAATAGAATAAACTAGAACAGAACAGAACATGAAGGCATTATTTAAGGTGAGTTATTTATTATCGGTTGAATTGTGTCTCCCTAAACACAATAGGTTGGAGCCCTAGCTGGGTAGGTATCCCCCACCCAAGTATATGTCAGAATGTGACCTTATGTGGAAATAAGGTCTGTAGTAGAGGCAATCAAGTTAAAAATAAAATTAATAGGGTGGGCTCCAATTCAATATGACTTGTGTCCTTATAAAAAGATGACTTTTTTTTTTTTTTTTTTTTTTTGGGACGGAGTTACACTCTTTTTCCCAGGCTGGAGTACAATGGCATCATCCCAGCTCACTGCAACCTCCGCCTACCAGGTTCAAGCAATTCTCCTGCCTCAGCCTCCCAAGTAGCTGGGATTACAGGCATGCACCACCATGCCTGGCTAATTTTTGTACTTTTAGTAGAGACGGAGTTTTGCCATGTTGGCCAGGCTGGTCTTGAACTCCTGACCTCAGGTGATCCACCCGCCTCAGCCTCCCAAAGTGCTTGGATTACAGGTGTGAAAAGGTGACATTTAGACAGAGACAGACACACACAGAGGGAAGACAATGTGAAGACAGGGGGAGAAGATGGCCATGTGACTGAAGTAATGCATCCATAAGCCAAGGAAAGCCAAGGAGTGCTGGCAACCACCAGAAGCTAGCAAGAGACAAGGAAGGATTCTCCCTTAGAACAGTCAGAGAGGGTGTGGCCCTCTCAACACCTTGATTTTAGGCTTCTTACCTCCAGAACTGTCAGACAATACATTTCTGCTGTTGAAGCCCCCCAGTTTTTGTTATGGTGGTCCTTGTGTACATGAGTATGTATGTATGTGTGTATTTGTGTGTATTATGGGTCATAATGTAAACTCTAATTCCTACTGTAGATTACAGTCAAAAAAAGTTTGTAAAATAGTATTCCATAACACAGGCAAATAGAGTGTCACTGATATCTATCTGGGCAATCCCCTTAAGACAGAAGGCAGGCAAAAAAAAAAAAAAAATTCTGGGAAGGAGAAGAGGTGGCGTGTTCGCAAGCGGGGGATGGAAGGCAGTTTCTGGAAAAAGCGAGCTTCTCTCTGAGGATGAGTGGAAAGAGCAGCACAATTAAACGGAGTAGCTGGTGATCTGGTGATGCATGCGTGAGACTTGCTATGAGTCCATTGCAAGGGGAAACAAAAATAGCTGGTCTGGCAGGTGTTTGGGGAAAAGGTTTTAGTCAATCCACTTTGCATAAGTAAAAGTGATTTAACCCAGCCAAAGCTTCAAAAGAAACTATGTGAGGCATGTTAATGATATTGGGAACTCCATCTAGATGGGGAGAAAGTCAGAGTAATGGAAAAGCGAACCTTAGGGGACCCATGCGCTGCTGACAGCAGATGGCAGAAGATTGCTTAATATTCTGACACAATTAAACTAATTCCCTTTAAGCTTCCTTCCCATACCATAAACAAAATCTCCCCATCCCTTAGAAATTAACTTTTAACATCTGGGCAAATGTACTGCTTAGTGCCCAACTCCCCCCAAAAATCGCAGTTAATTTTTTTTATATATATAAAGACCAAACCAAAAAGGATTTTGTTAACAGTTTTAGCCCCACTACAGTCTAGTGTAGCACACATTGGTGGCACAAGTGAGGTGTCATGAAATTCCTGTAAGATAGGATTGTACTATCATTAATTGATAAAAACTGCACTATCACCAAATCTCATTTATTTATAAAGGTGTGTGGCCCATGAAAGTAACAAAGAGGGCCAAGGCGTGGTGGCTCATGCCTGCAGTCCCAGCATTTTGGGAGGCCGATGTAGACGGATTAACAGAGGTCAGGAGCTCAAGACCAGCCTGGGCAACATGGTGAAACCCTGTCTCTACTAGAAATACAAAAATTAGCTGGGTGTGGTGGTGGGTGCCTGTAATCCCAGCTACTTGGGAGGCTAAGGCAGGAGAATCGCTTCAACCCCGAGGGTGGAGGTTGCAGTGAGCTAAGACTGCACCACCACACTCCAGCTTGAGCAACAAGAATGAAAGTCCATCTCAAAAAAAATAAATAAATAACAAAGGGCCAACAAAACACAACTTAGTGACTTATTCTGTTACTAAGAACGGTATGATGAGATGGGGAGACCCACCATGGCTGACTTCTGAGCTGTGATTTCTCATCTCAGCCTTGCACTTCCACGGGGTCCCTGGATGTTCTCCACCAATGGGCCAGGAGAGGCCACTGATCCATACCACATACCTCAATACCCAATTCCTACTGGCAATAAACCACTCCATGATTTTATCCATACATGTAGACGGGATCTTCCATTGCCAGGCTGTATGAGAGTAAGTGTATGCACTTGTAAATTCTGCCCCTCTGGCTTAGATAAAACACCTGTATATGAGACAAAAAGGCAGCCAGGAAAGCAGAGCTACCAAGGTTTAGATAAGTAAACAAATCCTGGTTTGGGACTAGTTACACTTTAACACCATACTCAGCTGCTCCAAGTGTCTGTTTCCTCAGAACAAAGTAGATTCATGATCATATTCATCTTGGAAAGTTTTTGAGCATTAAAGTTGTAAAATGCCTGGCTCATGAAAGTGCACCATTCCCTTCAGATTTATTAGATGTAACACCTATTTACTCCTATGCTTGTAGGTGAAGGAAGCTATTATCTTCTTCTGTAAACATTGACAGGGTCTGGATGTGCCCATGACTGACTGGATGTTAGAGTGAAGTGGCTGTAGGGGAGAGGAGACAGGGTAAAACACTAATTTCTCCTAAGGGAAAAGACACCCAAATGAATTTATACTGCTGTACAAGTGGCTAAATATTAACATAGAAGGAGAAAAAAGGAGCCAAGGATGCCCAAGGAAGACATCAAAAATGGTGACACTGGGCCGGGCGTGGTGGCTGATGCCTGTAATCCCAGCACTTTGGGAGGCCAAGGTGGGAGGATCACCTGAGGTCAGGAGTTCGAGACCAGCCTGGCCAACATGGTGAAACCCTGTCTCTATTAAAAATACAAAAATTTGTCAGGTGTGGTTGCAGCCTCCTGTAATCCCAGCTACTCAGGAGGGTGAGGCAGGAGAATAGCTTGAAACTGGGAGGTGGAGATTGCAGTGATCTCAGATTGTGCCACTGCACTCTGGCCTGGGTGACAGAGCGAGACTCTATCTCAAAAAAAAAAAAAAGTGACACTGAATCTGGGTCATAGGGATGCAAAGCAAGGAGGAAAAAGAAGGCATGCAAAAAAGGGCATCCTTGTAGAACAGAGAGAACTGTGATGAGGCTGTAGTGCTGAACTCTCGACAGGCATGGTAAGAGATGAGGCTGGTATGAAAGACCTGGGCATAATTGCATACAGCCTTGGCTTATAAATACTAATGAGCAAAAAGGTGGCCATGTACAGAAGAGACCTGATAGGTAATCAGACAAGCTGCACTGTTCCTACAAATACTTAATGAGCACCCACTATATATGATAGGTGAGACTCTTAAGTGCTGAACAATGTCAATACTGTCAATCAATTCAAGTACCTATTTAAACTCAAGTCGTTCAGCATTACAGGAAGACAAAGTGAGAAATTGGTAAAGGACCAAAAGAGAATATATCTGGAAAAATTGGAGGAAAATGTCTTTAGTACTCCTGAAAATATTTTAGCTAATGTTATTAAGCAGGAAAATGGTTATTTTATACTACTCACTCTCAACTGGGCTGGAAAGGACCTTGGGTTCATTCATTCATTCAGCAAATATTCAACACCTACTATATACCAGTTACTCTCCTAGCCAATGGGTGTGGCAGAAAACAAAACAGACATCCCTGCCTTAATGGGAACTGAATTCTGAGGATACATTTAATGTGCTTTAATTTTAAAAGTTAGGCAGTGTAGGAAAAGAACTAGAAACTTTTACCAGTTTTAAAGACTCCAATAGCCTTCATCTGTATAACTGGTAAGTACGAATATTCTATGGCATCTATAATAACAAATTTTTTCCTATTAATTTTAAATTGTCCAAGAAAATGGAAAGACTGTAGATTCAATTTTAAAATGAGAGTTTTTTTCCTTTAAATTTTTGTTATATATATAAATAAGATACAGAGTTTTTTGATAAAGTTTTTTTTTTCTTTTTTTGTATCTCAGGAAACTGAGATACCAATAGATCAAGGAATTTGCCCAAATCCCACAGCTGAGCAGTGACAGAGCTGTGATTTCACGTTAGGTAGCAAAACTGCCTCTTGCTTGTTGCCCCAAAATAATAAGAATGGTTATTTCTAACTGGTGGTGGAAAGGGTGAGTTTATATTCCCACTTTTAATTTTTTTTCTTTTCTTTCTTTCTTTCCAGCATAGGCTGGAGCACAGTGGCACAATCTCGGCTCTCTGCAGCCTCCAATTCCCAGGCTTGAGCAATCCTTCCACCTACAGGTGCATGCCACCACCCTCAGCTAATTGTTTTTGTACTTTTCATAGAGACAGGGTTTTGCCATGTTGCCCAGGCTGGTCTCTAACTGCTGGGCTCAAGCGATCTGCCTGCATTGGCCTCCCAAAGTACTGAGATTACAGGTGTGAGCCGCTGCCAGACCTAAAAAGTTTTAATTTTTATAATCTATCAGTGACTTAACCACACTATAGTGCCTCCTAAATAAGTCTTACTTGCCAATGTTATTCTTTCCTTGAGTGAATTACTGAGCACCTCCTACATGTCCAGTGCTGTGGTGGGTTTCTAGGAGTGGAAAGGAATAGGAGATGCAGTCCCCACCCTTGACAAGCATCTCTCTTCTTTAGGAAAAAGAGGGATAGATAATAGAACACGTACATCTGTAACAATTAGAAAGCAATCAAGAGCAATTCTTGAGATATTACAACATAACAAGTCAGTAGCATATAAAATCCCCATGTTAGTGTCAACAGAAAGTGAGACCCTCCCTGACCAGAAGTTAAAGAAACTCTAGTGCCACTTACAAAAACAACTGCTTCTGAGTGAAGCCCTTCATGCTATTCTGCTTAATGATTCTTCTCACTAACGAGCCAGTAGATTAGGTCTTGGAAAAATACTGCACTCGTAATTAATTAATCCATTAATTACACTGCCAATTATTGTGGATCATAAGTAAATTCCACATTATTTTTAATACCTTTGTTTCAAAAATCAAAATTGCAAAACATCCCATCCCCTCCCCTCCGCTATCTAAGCCAAACACAAGCTGTGCTTATCCAGATCGAGATGTCGGTCATTGATCTATGATGCCTCACCCCTGAAAGACTTGGGATGCTGGTATTCCTGCTGATGAGAACATATGGTTCAGATGGTTTGGCGGCGAAATCCTGGCAGAAGAGTCTCAAAGCATCAACAGATGCTGCCATAGCACAGACATCCAAATGGTGGCATAATTGCTGCTGCTGCTTTGATGCCACATGTTTCACTGTGATGACAGCAATGCCTTTCAAAGAGAGGCTGGTGGCAAAACAGAACCTCTCCCCAGTCCCCAGAGAGACACACATGAGTGTGTGTGCATACACACACTCAGGCACACACACACAGGTACACATGTGCATGTAAAACCAGGTAAGATCTGCCTTCCATAGGTCTCTTTCATCTCTCTCTAATGGTAGGTATAAAGCCAGCTGGAAAAGAAATAGCAGCTAGAGAATTATTTTGTTCTTTGCCTACATAACTGACATTTAGGTTCCACTTAGAAAACAGAAACTCACAAAAACCAAATAAAAGATGGCCTGTTAGCAACTCAGAGATGGGATCAGACACTCACACCCATACCCGTCCCACTGCCCCTAGTTCCTCCTACTCCTCCAACCCGCAACTGAGGCACTGCCAGATTCCCAAAGCTCCCTGTCACTAATTGCTCAGACTCCTCTTCATCAGATTCATTCAGTCAATCAACAAATATTTGCTGATCACCTGCTATGGGCTAGGAGAGGAGGGGCTTCAAGAGCAACAATCTCTATATAGCTGAAGGGTTCTGGGGAGCTTTCTCCTTCCACAATTGCCAAGTCATTTTCAGCCACTTATTTCACCTTTATTGAGCAATGACAGTCTAGCACTACTCAGCCTGGAGATACAACAGGAAACCAGACAGATGTGGTGGTCCCTTTCTGTAGTAAAGGAGTTAGCCAGATAAGCTATCCAATGTAGTGCAGTGTGCAATGTGCTACATTACAGTATAGGGTGGTGTAGACACTTCAAGGGAGCAGCATTTAGTATAGATTGGGGATTTGTGGGGAGGGGTAGAGAGCAAGAGACAGATACCCTGAGTCCCAAGGATAAATTGCGGTCAGCCAGGTGACCAGGAAGAAAGCAGCGCTGAGGCAGAGGGAGCAGCTTTAGAGTGAGACAGAAATACGTCCTGGCTCACCAAATGCCCCAAACCTTATTTCTTCATCTCTTAAACATGAAAATAGTAACACTAAATAAGAAAATGTGAGTTAAGATATTAGCACTCAATAATTGATAGCTATTTTTATCATTATTATTATTTTGTAATACTAGTAACAAGAACAACAATGTCTGCAGATACTTAGAGGTAGGAAAATGTATGGAACATTCTGGAAAATAAGCATGGTTCGATTTGGCTGGAATATAACGTGTGTGCGTGCGTGCATGTCTCCCCAGAGACATGAACTGGCCAATGAGTAAATGACCTAAAAGCACAGAACTGCATGTGATAAACCAGCACAGACCTGGCTGTTCTTATGGGAGAAATCATAGCTGCTTCTACCCTGAGTGTAAAGCTGAATGCCAAAGGAATGAACACAAGTGAGCATTCTGAGCCATCACCACCACCTCACCAGACAGTAGTGCACCTCTTGGGTATTGTGGATTCCTCATCTATGAAAAGAGCACAAGGACACTGGTCCTGTTTATCTCAATGAATTGTTGATGTTAACGATCTCATTCCTAATTCTGGGGTGCCAAATATAACTCCATAAAGGACACGTACAACTATGAGGAAACACGGCCACTGTCATGCTAATTTAGATAAATCTCTAAGAAGAAATGAGTAAATGATCTAAAAGCACAGAACTGCAGAGCTGTCTGTTTTGAATGTCAAACATTTGCATACTCCACATTTGTCATTAACTGAATGAAAAGTGGACAAACTAATGAGCTGACAGAATACAGATGCAAACTACATACAAATAATAAGGACCCACACTTAAGAATACACATGATCCTCCCTTACCACAGGAATTAAGTTACTGTGAAGACAAAAGAACAAAAGATTACACACACTGATCCTGTGTAAAGTACAGACCTAGGAACTAAGAGGTTGAGATAAAGAACTATTTGCCTGCAGCATTGGGGCCAAGGCTTAGGGGTGATTGACACTCATTTTGCTTCCCAGAGAGGTAGAAATTAGGAGAACAAGGGGACACCTAACCTGGGAATAAACAAGCTAGAAACACTTGGGGAGGTGGGGCTGTCAGGGACTTATACTTATTGGCAAGGTTGCAGGAACACATCTGGGTCTTCGACGGTCTGTCCCCTAGATACCACTTAGAGTCTGTCCACTCTGGGCTCTGGCATTATCAAACATCGGGGAGGGAACAGAAGACAGAGTGAAAGGTTTGAACAAGCACACAATTTTGTCTCACATGGATATAAAATCAAATCTGCTGACTTCTACCTCTTCTCAGTTACACAGCCTTAGGCTACTTGGAGTTGTTAACTGCTCTGGAGTTGTTTTTAAAAATTAAGTGGGTACTATGAGAAATGCTCAGTAGAGAATTTTATCAAGTCACACAAATCAACAGGCAAACAAAAGACAGCTTTGATGGCTTCCCCCTGCACACAAGCTGATGTCTAAACCCTAATCTGCCATTCAAAGGCTCTTTTGCCAGAATGTGGCCCCAATCCAGAACCACAAGATTGAAGAAGCACTTGTTCAACTCTAACTGTGCTTCTCCAGGACTACATTTTTGCTCACCCTGCTCCCAGACCTCTCAGGCTCCTCTCACCCTCAGTCCTCCCAGCTTCTACCCATTCCTGGAGGTCCTGTTTTGGTCATTCCTGCTCCAGGAGGCCATATTAGAGTATTCTTCACTTCTCCTTTTGAATAGTCATTCTCACTCAGACAAGAACTGGTTTTCCTTGCAGGGCAATCCTGTTCCTCATTCTCCTTATAGAAAAAGGAGAATGCCCAAACTTAGTGGTTCACGTCAAAGCTCAGCACAATCTTGGGGCACTGGGAGGACTATGGATTCTAGTGGTCAATCCATTAGCAGCAGGCAGACATCCATCCTCGGAAGGCATGGTAAGTGATGGTGAGCAACCACTATGGCTCCTTGACCCCAGTGACTTCAGATGTTCATTTCAAAAGTGAAGGAGAATAGGTTTAGGCTGGGTGCCCTGAGATGGTCATGGCTAGTGCTGGACAAACTCTCCATACTTGCTTTGCTTCTCTCCCTGTGGGTTAGCCCAGGCCCAGTCCCATCACAGCAGCCCAAGAGACTGCTCCCTACTCAAGTCCTACCTAACTCTCCTTTTCTACCAGCCTAAGGATCCTAGTCTTGGGAGGATTATATAGGGAGGAAAGCTTTTAGATCTTCCTTTAGTCTTTTTCCTAATCTATTATGGCATAAACTCTATTCCTGACTTTACAAGAACTTTATTTTTTATTTCAGGAGCCCTTTCTTCTCTCAACAAAACTTAGCTCTTAAGATCAAAAACTTTGCTTTTAAAACTGTCATTTTTGATGTGGACTTCAAGAGTCTATTTTGAAAGTTTAAAAAAAAAACAGGCTTTTTTCTTTTGCTTCCACTGCTTTTCTACAGACGTGCCTCCCACCTACTCTGCTCCTGCCTAAAATGCCCCTGATTTTCCACAAGGTAATGTGAAGACACTGGTTGATTAGACAGAGACCATACATAAGACGGGGTAAAAAAGAAAAACTCCAAGTTTAACATCTCAGTGTGTTACGTTGCTCTAATTCCATAGTATTTAAGGGAATAAATAGTGGAAACAGACCTGACACGTACCCTGACACTCATGTGATCATCGGCAATTACCTTCTCTGTGCCTCTATTTTATTATCAGTAAAAGGAAAAGTCCATTTTCCTCACTTCTAACTGCTACTGTGAAGATTATTGTAAAGTGCTTCACCAAAAATAAGCCACATCCATACAACACAATAAATGGTAGTTATTGTTAAGTACCAGGCATCTGGCAACTAGGTCCGTTCTGCCTTAAGATATTCTAATATCATTAGTCTTTACCATTTAAATCTATTTTTGTTTAACTTTCCTTGCATGTACGCCTTTTCCTCCATACTTGTAAATTTGCCAACTTATTTTCTTACCTTTAAACAAGAATACAAATAATCTACCTTATGAAGTTGTAAACATCAAGTCAAGGTGTTTATGAATACTTAGCCTGACATCAGGACAGAAAACAGTAGTCACCATTGTTAGGTCCGTTATGGGCAAAAGCCAGGTTCCCAAGAAACTCATCTACGAGCTGGTCTTAGACTTCCTAGTTTCCAGAACTGTGAGAAATCCATTTTCTGTTGTTTAAGCCACCCAGTCTATGGCATTTTGTTAAAGCAGCCCAAACTGACTGAGACACCTTGAGAAAAGTTTTCAATGCTCTGTGTGTTAGTTTTCTTACCTTTAAAAATGGTGCTAATAATAACATCAATGTTACAGTGCTGTTCTGAGAACAAAATGTAAGATTTCATGTGTTGCTATGGCACCTACTGGGTATGGCAGGGGATGGAGAGCTGAACAAACAGGGGTCTTGCCCTGAAGATGTTCCAGGAGAGTATAGGAAAAAGACTTATGCCTAAGAAACTGCCATAGAAAGCCAAGCAACAAATGCATTTGAAGCAGCACAGATAAAATGGAAAGAAAGTCCAGTTCAGGGAAAGGGACATGACCTTCAACAAGTCTGCCATCTGGTCCAAACAAGACAGACAAGCCTATAGACTTCCCACGAAGCATTCTTCTGTAAAGAATTTCTTAGCATTTTCCAGGCAGTTATGCTCTGAATCTCCATACTATTTTGGATATTCTTTTATTATAGTACTTTTCTCATTGATTTGCATATATTTCTTTGAAAATCCATCTTCCCCAGGAAATGAATAAGCTTCTTCAGGTCAGAACTACCAGGCCCTGTTGCTTATATACATGCAATCCCTTATCCCTCCACAAGGAAATCCTAACATCTGGTATAAAATATTAAATCCTAAATAAATTCTGTTGAAACATGTACCCAAGTCTTTATCCTGCTATGTCTGAAATACGTCACTTTAGAACAATTAAGAATTAAATTATAGCCATGTCTTCATCTTTTGCATATTGCTTCCCTACCATTTCTCTTCCAGGAAAGATCTTAACCCAAGGTGTTGAGCACTATCAAACAAATGAGGAATAAGCACTACCTTCCACCCCTCAGTGATAGTTGGGAGATCAGGAGGCATCTCCTCTGAAGACTGGACATATTTAAAATGACCTGACCATGTAAGGGAGTGAGGGAAAGGAGAAGGAAGAGCAGCACCAGATAGATTCAGCCACAAGGTGAGGGCACAGTTCCTCAAATAATTTAATTTCCTTTACCTAAAAAAAAACTATATAAATAATTGTGACACATCCACAAAACCATGCTGAAATAATAAAAATGTCATTGCTTTATCAGCTTGGAGTCTAAACATAAAAAATGATAGTCAGTGCTAATCTACTTTTCTCTGCTTCTAAATGCTGCCTCAAATAGCCTGGCAAAAAGCCCCAAAATGGAAATTAGTAGCTCAGATTAAGTCCCTGTGCCAGAAAAGATCTTTGTACTGTATTTAGAACAAGGACAGTATACCATGGTTCAGTATTGACAGGACAATTACTCTAAGAAGATAGAACTTAGCTCCTGAAGCTACTTAAAATCAAGAGCTATCTATTGACCCAAGTAGGAGATGATCTGCATGAAGAAATCCATGCTTCCCAGCTTCTCCTCCACTGCTGTTCCTCCTCAGCACCACTCCCATTCAGAAGCTCTGCCTGATGTGTCAATGGCTCATCAAAATCCACTTATACAGGATCTTCTCGCCTTAACCTTTCTCTGTCTCCTATATTTTTAATCTAGATAAAAGGTCTCACCATTCCATGCACACCACAACAAGCCAGAAACTTGAGAAGCATCATTAATTCCTTCTTAGTCACTTACCCCTACATCCAGCCACACAGACACAGACACAACCACTGGTTAACAAATTCTGTGAACTGTCCCTCCCTAATATCTTGAGTTGGGTGCTTCAATTCATCCCTTCTCCCCTACCCTTACTTCAGTCCCTTCTTTCTGGTTTCCAACAACTAGTGTTCCTGGCCCCAGTCTATCCCACCACCTTTTCCTTCACCCTGCAACACACACAGATTTTGGCTAGTTTTCCAAAATGCAGATTTGATCTTGTCACTCCCAGCTTTAAAACCATTTAATGTAACCACTCCCACTCACCACTAAAAGAAAGAACCTTCGTGCCTCTCTGCAGCTCAGAGCTCTAGCCATGCTGTATGCACCTCCCAGTTCTCTCACTCTGCCTAATCTTTGCAAATGCTACTCTTGTGTTCCTGGTTTAGAATAATACCTATTTCTCTATTTGGACCTGGTTCCAACTGGACCTCCTTGTGGAAAGGACGCTCTGACGTTCCTTCCCTCTGTTACACACACACACACACACACACACACACACACACACACACACACACACTAGCTCCCATAATCCTTGGGCATTGCTGGCTCATAGCATTTATCACAGTACATTATGAATCCCCTCTGAGCCACAGATCTCCTAACAAGACGGTGGCAACAGCAAACGTCTTTGGCTGTCTAGAATCCCACACAGCTCCTGCCACTCAGTAAGCATTGTTGAAAAGGAATGGGAAAAGATGAATGAATGAAGGCATGATATAGTCCACTTACGTGGTGGGATGATGTAGGATCCGGTCCCAGATCTGTTACCCAGTGTCACTCAAGCTGTAATGGGAGCAGTTTAATCAGCTGAACATTCCAAGGAAATCCCCAAATAAAACAGCCCCTGGGGAGCTCTCCCCTCAAACTGAGTACCAAATGGCTCACCACGTATTTATTGTTTCATGAATCTTCTCTTGTCTTCTCTCAAGTTTAAACTACCCAAGGGCAGTGACTGACATCCATTCATTCAACAACTATCTAATGAATATTAATGATGTGTCAGGCAATAATAATAACTAACATTTATAATGTACTTATTGCTCACGCACTGGGTGAAGTTCCTTTATGCTTTTATGATTGCAGTAGGCAATGAACTAGGGACCAGATACATGAACAACTTTATACTACATGGGAAACGTTTCATGTATGCATTCATTCAATGTCTTTTTCAACAATCGTTTATTGAATGTTCACTATGTTTGAAGTCTTGTATATGTTCCTAGGCATTTTCTTGAGGTAGGTGTCCATATTTTATCAGCAAGGCAACTGAAATACAAAGAGATCAAGTAATTTGCCCAAATCCCATAGCTGAACAGTGACAGAGCTGTGATTTCAAGCTAGATAACAAAACTGCCTCTTGGTTGTTGACCCAAAATAATAAGAATGGTTATTTCTGAGTGGTGGTAGAAAGGATGAGTTTATTTTCTCACTTTTAACTTCTTTCCTTTCTTTCTTTCTTTCCAGCATAGGCTGGAGTGCAGTGGCACTCACTGCAGCCTCAAATTCCCAGGCTCAAGCGATCCTTCCACCTCAGCTTCCTGAGTAGCTGGGACTACAGGCACATACCACCATGCCTAGCTAATGGTTTTGTATTTTTAGTAGAGAAGGGGTGTCACCGCGTTGCCCAGGCTGGTCTTGAACTCCTGGACTCAAGTGATCCGCCCACCTTGGCCTCTCAAAGTGCTGGGATTACAGGCTGAGCCACTGCACCTGACCAATTTTATTTTCTTTTGTGTTTTGCATATTCATGTTTTCTACTTTTCCTCCAGTAAACCATGTAATCTTGAATATAATTTATAAGAGGTAAAAAACTGGCTGACCATGCAATGAAAATAGTTGCTACATTATAATGAAAATGTAAAAACAGATAAGAAAATGCTGATGAGATGAGGTGTCTAAAATCAGCAAGAGGTAGCCAAGCGCAGTGGCTGATGTCTATAATCCCAGCACTTTGGTAGGCCGAGGCAGGTGGATCACCTCAGGCCAGGAGTTCAAGACCAGCCTGGCAAACATGGCAAAACTCCATCTCTTCTGAAAATATAAAAATTAGCTGGGTGTGGTGGTACACGCCTGTAATCCCAGCTACTTGGGAGGCTGAGGCACGAGAATCGCTAGAACCCAGGAGGCAGAGACTGCAGTGAGCCAAGATTGTGACACTGCACCCCAGCCTGGGCAACAGAGCAAGATTCTGTCTCAAAAATAAATAAAATAAAATAAGACTCTGTCTCAAAAATGAAATAAAATCAGCATGAGTCCACTTCTAGACTCTCTACCTACGGACACTTGGAAACACCAGCCCATTTCCTGGGATGCCAGATAACTCAAACATAGCTACAGCATTTAAAGATGTACCGTAATTTAAATGCTTAAAAGGTCTCTTCCTGACTGTAGAAAGAGAAGTAATTGAAAAGAAATAGAAAGAGCTGATGCTTGGTGCTGCTTTCTTATAGGAGTAATACTATGATGCAATTTTCAAGTGAAAACATTCACATTCAATCTCTGCCTTTAGCATAGGGAGGAGGCATTAGGTGTGCCCATGCTGTGCTGTGCAGTCAGGAGCTGGCACATCCTCTCTCTGCTCTTTCTTTTGGTTGTCTGCGGAAATCTGGGTCACTTAATCACATGACTGACCCACATTTACAGAAACCCAGCCTTCCCATCCTATTAGAAAAACAGCAGCTCCGTGGAAGCAAGCTTTATGAATAACTAAATTTACAGATAAGCTTGCTTTAATTAGCTAGAGAAGAGGAGCCCCACTCCTTCTTCCAGACAAAGCCAATACTGATTTCTCTACATCTTGGCACATCTGTAAACAGCTCCTGGTCTCTTCCACTGCACTGATTAGTCTCCTTTAAATTCCTTTTGAATGTAATTAATTTGCTTCTCCCACTTTTTTAACCCGTACATCAGGAAGCACATTAGCTGAGCCTTTGAAACATCAGTCTTCCAGGGATGATAGCAGTGCATGATCTCCCTGATGCTGACTACTCTGGCTTCTGTATGTGCTGAAATTTGGTTTGCTTTAGATTTTCACAATGAATCAACACATCATGGGGCAAAGGGCTGGGGGAGGAATTTGCTTAAAGAAGTTATGAGTCAAAGTTCTTTTCTGTGGTCTCATGGACAGAATTCCAAGACACATCTATTTTCTTCCCTTTTTCTAAAAAGAAACTCGATGAGAAATATAATTTTGTCATTCAAATGTGCTCAAAGAATTTTCCCTTCTCTTTAGGGTAACAACTCTCTACCTGTTTCCTCTCCAATACACAAGAAGAACAGACACACTTATTAAGGCTTCTTAGCAGTAGTGAGGGTGGTCTGACTCAAAATGAGATGGTATGAAGTGACCACTTTGAAGCCTTCAGATTTATACAGGGAAATGCCCCTCTCTGCACTGCTCCCAAAAAAAATCACTGCTTGAGGGTGAATGACCACCCGCTTCCCATCACACAAAGAAGGAGGCTAGTATTAATGACTTACCACACTTAAGTCTGCACATGTTCCTTTGGGGAGGGGAAACCTCCCTGGAAAATCCACATGGATTTCTTTGCTGAGCTTTAGAGACTACTGTGAAATATATCCTATAATCTCAGGATTCCAGATGAAATAACCAAAAAAAAAATTGTGGGTTCAAATTTATATCTTTGGATTAGCAGGAAAAGGAATATCACACCAAATTAAATCTCATTTTTCTTTTCCTTTTTAAATTTTATTTTCCTTTCTCTCTCTCTCACTCTTTTTAATTCTTTCCTTTTAAAAAAAATGAAATGTGTTTGCTGAACTGGTACATCAGGGTAATTCTGCAAATCTGGCATATCTGGATGTCAGCAAGGCATTTGACAAAATCTCTCATGAGATCCTGGAGGATAAGACAGGAAAAATGTGGGCCAAATGACAAGCCAAAGAAAGGGGTTTAAAACGGATTGAATTTCAGTATTCATAAGGCAGAGTGTCAACTTGGAGAGAAGTCTCCAGTGGCTTGCCTCAGGGCTCTGATTCACTCTTGTATCCATCAACATTTTTCCTAATGGCTGGGATTAGGTCATGGCCTTCTAGCCAAATGTTCACATGCTTCAAAACTGGGAGGGAAAACAAATACACTGTGGGACAAAATCAGGCCCAAAATGATTTCAGGGGCTAGAACAGTGGTTCTTAAACTGTGGTCTGCACATCACCTACATTAGAATCATCTGGAATGCTGGTGCCTGACCCAGCAGTCCCATTACTGGGTATATACCCAAAGGAGTATAATTCATTCTATTATAAAGATACACACACATGTATGTTCATTGCAGCAGTATTCACAATAGCAAGGACATAGATTCAACCTAAACGTCCATCAGTGACAGACTGGATAAAGAAAATGTGGTACATATATACCATGGAATCCCATGCAGCCATAAAATGGAACGAGATCATGTCCTGTGCAGGGACATCAATGGAGTTAGAAGCCATTATCCTTAGCAAACTAATGCAGGAACAAAAAACCAAACACTGCATATTCTCACTTATAAGCAGGAGGTGAACAATGAGAACACATGGACACATGGTGGGGAACGACACACACTGAGGCTTGTAGGCAGGGGCTGGGGGTAGGGAGAGCATCGGGAAGAATAGCGAATGGATGCTGAGCTTAATACTTAGGTCATGGAATGATCTGTGCAGCAAACCACCATGGCACACATTTACCTATGTAACAAACCTGCACATCCCACACATGTACCCATGAACTTAAAATAAAATTTGAAGAAAATAAAAATTTTAAAAAGGCAGAAGCCTGGCCTACCCATACCTGCTGACTCCATGCGGACCACTCTTTAAGACAGATTGAACTGGAACACAATCACATCCTTCTCTATACACACATGGAAAAAGTCATAGAACTGTAGATATCTCAAGATTAGCAAAACCTGAAAGTTGTTTCTTTTTTTTCTAAGTATCTTTTGAAAGGAATCCAAGCTGGAGGCTGATGGGTATCTAGATGGTGGCAGAAGGATTAAAGCCAAGTGACACTCAGGTAGGATGGAGGAATGTTCCAGATCTACCTTTAGGGGTCCCTCTTACGAGGCAGGATCTCATAATGATCTCCCGTCAGGAAAGGAAAGGTTTTGTTAGAGGTGCCTTCCTGGGAGACAGCGCCTCAGCAGGTGATTCCATTAGCTTTGTCACTTTAATAACAACCAGATTTACCAAATGAAAACTGTACAAAATATTGAACAAAAAACAATATAGATATTGCTTATTCCTGAAAATGACACTCCAGCTGACCCCCCACTAGGAGTTTCTGTGAATTTTATATTTTAAACACCAATTCTGAAATCCACTTCTAAGGGCCAGTTTAAGACTCACGCAACTTTCAAATTTGAGGAAATTAAAAATACATGTGAAGCCATGTCTTTTTACTATTAAATACTGACAGTTGATATTAAAATCCGGAATCAAAGGAAAATCCAGCTCCTGCCCCTTAACATGAAGCATTTTCATGAGGTCTCTCTCTCCTAACATAATATGCAATTGATTTGAGCCAGAGTTCAATTTTCTCCTTGATATCCTGGCATTTTATGAGATTTAGCCCTCTGAAAGTAACTTTAATGCAGCAATGAAGAACCAACAAAAACTCTTGAAGCAAAAATCCTGCTGAAAGGACAAAAACTACCCACCAATGTTTGAGAAAAAGACATCTCATATTTCCTTCATTTTCTTTTTAACACCTGGTACACTCATCGTCTCATAAATATTCAATCAACATTTCAAAAATATTTCCCTTTAAGAAAAAAAGGAAGTACTTAAAATAGGATAGTAATTAATAATTTTTTCATTTTTCCTGGACTGTTAATATAATTCACCAAAAAATCCCAAATTTTAAAATGAAAAAGTTAATTGAATAATTATATTTTAACTACCTATATACCTGCTTAAACAAAAATATATCTATTTATTTCTTAAAAGTCAGATCAAAGGTGTTTCGGAAGGAAGGATAATTAATGTTACGTTTTACAACAGGCTAAATTTGAAAACAAATGTGAATGCACCCACCACATGGAAGGAGTGGTGAAAAAAAAGTGGTGAAAAAAGATTTCACTCTTGTCACCCAGGCTAGAGTGCAATGGCGTGATCTTGGCTCATTGCAACCTCCGCCTCCCATGTTCGAGCAATTCTCATGCCTCAGCCTCCCAAGTAGCTAGGAGTACAGGTATATGCCACCATACCCAGCTAATTTTTGTATTTTAGGAGAGACAGGGTTTCACCATGTTGGCTAGGCTAGACTCAAACTCCTGACCGACCTCAAGTGATCCACCTGCCTCGGCCTCCCTAAACGCTGGGATTACAGGCGTGAGCCACTGCACCTGGCCCAACTCCTAGATATATAAGAATATAAAAGAAGTTCCAGTGCCTAAGTTCTTACTTTCTCTTTTAACATCTGGATAAATGAGTCATTGGATAAATGAGTCAAGTTGCATCTCATTCTTAATATGGCTATAATCTATTCTTATAAAAACAAAAACAAAAGAGAGGAAACAGACTGGTCATTGCCAGGGAATGAGGGGAGGCAGAATGAGGAGTGATAGTTTAATGGGTATGGGTGATGGTAGGGTGATGAAAATGTTTTGGAACTAAATAGAGGTAGTAGTTGTACAACACTGTGAATGTAATAAATGCCACTGAAAGGTACACTTTAAAATGGGGAATTTTATACTATGTGAGTTTGACCTTAATAGAACAAAAACAAAACCAGAATTCTAAGGTTTCTCCAAAGACTTTATCCCATCAGAAGCTCACTCACATAGAGAAGTTAACTGAGGGTATAAGGGTGAAAAATGGGAGTCTATATTCCAGCACCCACTCATAGAAATGTGATCCCATATCCTTCCCAAACTATAAAAGAATTCTAGCTGCTAAACCAAAGACTGAAGTGTCACCAAGAGGTAATCTCTCACTAGAGAGCTGGCCTGAGGGTGAGGGGAAATGATTTGCCTCAGCTCTATAAAGCAAGCTAAATTGTGTTGGCTGTGTATTATCTCTGAAGTGTGGATAATTATGCCTCACAGTGTTACTATGAAGGACACATGGGCACCGCCTCATGTGATGGAGCACAGTCAACATGGTTTCTTTGAGGGCGTTCAAACAAAAACAAAAGAAACATCTGTATAAACTACAATGGACAGATCAAGCTGACAGCCAAGTCTTGTTGTCTTGGAAGAGGAAGACAGGGCAGGCATACAGAACTGATTAAAGACCACAAAGCACTGAGAACCACAGAGCAAGTGGAATTTCACATACGAGGTCCAAAGTGTTCACTCCAAGCATTAGCAAGAGGCACAAGGAATGTCAAAGGTCAACTGCAAATGGGAATCTTGAAGGTGGGAGACACTCAGTCATGTGGTGAGTACATTCGCATTCGTTTTCAAATTTAACCTTCCTCACACAAAATCCCTGTTATAAAACGTAACATCAATTATCCTTCATTGAACACACACACACACACACACACACACACACACACACACGAATCAGTTTGCATGATGGCATTCTGACTCAACGACATCATCAAGCAAGAGAACTATCCATCCTGTCTCTCACGGTTACTTCCTCCAAACATTCTTCCAGCTCAGAACCTAACCAGTCCCTTTAGGTTGATTTTTTACCTCATCTACCTCACAGCCACTCTGGGATATCAGTCTTCCAGACTATGGCCTGATTCCTTGTTGACCTTCTTCTGTACTTATTTGGATAGAATGAAGAAACCAAAATTCTTCCACTCCAAAGACCCTGTTCTAGTAATTTCAGCAATTCTGAAACAGTGACAAACATAAAGTTCAAACCCAAATGTAAAAAGATGGATTTTTCACCCTAGTACTTAATGATGTTTTTGATCACATCTCTGAAGACTGCTCCTGACTGTGAAGAGATGAGTACGCCAAATCCAAGATAACCCACAAATATTGGTCTCACTTGTTCATAAGAGCCTCCAGCTGTCAGAAAATGAATTGTCCCAGTCCAAGGTTTAAGTCATTTTGTCTTCTCATCTACAATCCAACAGTGATTTTGGTGGAGGCAGGGACAGAATCATCTGCTTTGGT
The DNA here is from genome assembly GCF_000001405.40 of Homo sapiens. NCBI lineage: Eukaryota > Metazoa > Chordata > Mammalia > Primates > Hominidae > Homo > Homo sapiens. The sequence goes on along the minus strand of NW_013171808.1, from coordinate 151,265 downwards.
CTGGCTTACCTTAGAACTGCCTGGTATAGATAGAAAAGATGCTTTCCTGCTCATCATCATGGGGGCCTTTTTCCTGGTCCAGTCAAAAAAGATAACTCCATCAAAAGTAACTTCTGCTACCTTCCAGAAGAGAAACAAAGCTATGGCTTGGCAAATACAGAAATGTTTGACACTTTAATGCTTTTGTGGTTCAAATTTATGAATGTATTTTGGATCGAGAAAAGTGAAATAAATATATAAGAATCTAGGCAATGTGCTTTGTGCTATATGTAAAATAACTCACTTATTATAAAGCACAAAATCACTTGTGGAACAAGCTTAAAACTTGGTTTTCCAAGCTGAAGGAGGAAAACAGAATATTTTTAAAGAGGTTGGAAAAGTGTTTCTTACAGAAAGCATATGGAGAGAGGAGTGGCAGGGGGTATGATGACAAGGCCAAAGATCTAAATGGGAAAAACACTGCTATTGTCTGAACGTTTTGTGCACCCAAATTTCCTATGTTGAATTCGTAACCCCCAAGGTGATAATATTAGGAAGTAGGGCCTTTGGAAAGTGATTAGATCACAGGGCAGCAGTCCTCAGTAATGGGATTAGTGCCCTTATAAAAGCAACCTGAGAAAAATGCTTCATCCCTTCCACCATGTAAAAACATAACCAGAAAGCACCATCCATGAACCAGAAAGCAGGTCCTCACCAGACACTGAATCTGTCGGCTCCTTGCACTTAGACTTCCAAGCCTCTAGTAATGTGAGAAATACATTTCTGTTATTTATAAGCTGCTCAGCTTATGGTATTCTGTTATAGCAATCCCAATGGACTAAGACAAACACCAAAGTATTTTTGCAAGGAAATAACAGAAGAAGTCAATGCATATAAAATAAAAATTCGGAGACTTCAGAATGAAGATATTTTTAAAAATCTTTAAGAGGATGGTGAAAATCAAGGCCCTTGATATAGTTAAAATAGTATATAATGCCTTATGTGAAAACTGCTGTCTGAAATGAACCTACATTTCCAACTGGGGTATAAGAGATAGCACCTGCTGAAGAGAGGCAAGGGTATGGAGGTCTTGGTGAGCTTCAGCACCAATAATAGGCTTATAAGACCTTAATGAAAAATAGAAGAAAGATTATAACTATCTCGATGATAAAGTCTCCTGGATAATAGAAATATAAGAAGTATGAGCCTAACCACTGGCCAAGAGAGCATTAAACACATTTTAAGAGAAGAGCAAGCCAGGTGACCAGAACACACTGGAAATCTGAAATAACCACATTTATAAGAAAGTGATGGGCAGATCTGTGGTTGTTGGCTCTATTGCAGTAGCAGTAAGAAGCCATAAATGTAAGCTAAAATCCTTCCTAGGGTCAATGACACAGTGAACATTATTTAAAAGTCAAATATTTTTTAAAATGTAAGCTACTGTAATTTTTGACACCACCTTAAATGGCTGAAAAAAATGACACAAACTGCAGTATTTGTAGTTAAGTTCTTCATAGAGCCACAGTGTCCATTTTGTTCATCAAAACATACATTATTCAAAGCTTTGAACCACAAAAGAACAAAGATACTGGAACAGATCCCCCATGTACTCGGAGGTAAAGCTGATGCCCAGAAAACGTGTCTTCCTCATCTAATTTAACCTTTGGAAAGGAATCAGAGATAGACACTGAGCTGCTGTTGCATCTACATAGCTAGCCCTTCTTTCTTTTCCTTTCCTTCCAAAAATACCTACTGAGCAGTGATCATATGCCAGGTTCTGACTGAGCCAGACACAGGACCCAATAGTGCATCAGAAATAAATCCTGCCTTCAAGGAGCCTACAATCAGGCAGAAATAAGGAATGAGAGGAATATACAGCTGATCCTGAACCAAGAGAAAGTATTGCCAATTGATGTAAATTTAAGCTGAGCCTATACAACCACATCCTGGGCATGCTCAATAATTCTAATAAAACTAGCTGACCCTTCAGAGCTAGTTGGAAACAGACAGTAAGATATCTTATAGTAGGAATATCAGCTAGAAAACTTTTATCACTTTTTATCTGGGCAGCTGAACAGAATCTTAATACAGACAAAATACACAACATGGAGTCAGAACTTAGTGACTGAACAAGTGTTTATTTCCTGGGTATTTGTGAAGCACAGCTCTATTTTTAAGAAATTATCCCACACCTCAGTATCCTCATTTGAAAAATGATGATAGGGCTGATAACCCATTGGATATTTTTATTATAACTATAAACTAACACACACAACAATACATTTAAAACTCTTAGCCATTATACGTCCATTATATGTCCTTCTTCAACATGTTTTGTGAAACTACAGCTTATGGTCATAAACATGTGTTCCCATGCATGAGCCTGTATTGGGTTTCACTCATTTCTTCCTAGTCTTACACGTACAGACTGTACAGGTCTGAAAATTTATACCTCAGTATCCTTTAAGCCCTTTAAAAAGCTGCTTCCAATTGAAAGTCATCTTTTTAATGTCTATTGAAGAGAATTTACACTGTATTTATGGCCTGGACATAATCATTACCTTCCAATAAAAATGACATATTAAATAAAAAGAAATTTTCACCTGTGAGCTCTTAGAATATATTTGCTTACTCATGGAAATTCAGCAGCGTCTTGCTCAATATTTTCTGCATTTCTCAGTACAATTATTTGGGGTTCATATATATGTCTATTCAAAATTTGCCAAATCTGAGCAACTCAGAAGCACTAAGAAGACAGAAAATAATAACAACAAACACCAAAGCAGATAAAACCACAACCACTATCCAAAGTGAGGGATTCTGGGATCCATTTGAGAGGGGCAGTAACCCTTCTGACCTTTATTCAGCTTCTGGTTAGAAGCTGAAACACAGCAGGACTGCTGGTTCCAACATCTTTATTAAGAATCCCATGAACCGACTAGGAAATATTCCCCTGCAACAAACAGTTGACATGTTCTTGAAAGTGACAGGTCATCTATCTTAAGCTGGTTACCAAGCTCTGCATGTTAAGTGAGCATGTGAGATCCCCAGAATGATTCACTATTCGTCTGAGAGCCCACAGCACATTTGCTTGCGTTCCCCACACAGGCTGCTTTCCCACTGTTATTTCCCTCTGTCTGAAACCAGAACTGATATCAGACAAAGCAAACAATTTAATTTTACTAAAAGGCTAGAAACTTGACCTCACAGCTGGAGAAACTGCTTTGGTTTGATCAGGACAAAAGAATGCAGAAGCCTCTCTTTCCCCATCCACCCCCAGCAAAGTGGTCTGCCAGTCAATTCCAGGGGAGACTTTGCCACATCCCAGTACTCAGCCCACAGGAAGACAGAGTACAGGGGTACAAACTCTTTAACATGCACTACCTGAAGCCACAAGGGGATGCTTTCTATTTATTTGTGTTTTTCAAAGCTTTCTAATATTTTATAAAGTGCTACTGTTTCTCATTTTAATATCTGGCGTTTTAATGTAGGGCTTATTTATCTTACCAAAAACAACATAATAATTGCAGAGTAGAAAAACACTTTGGGAAAAGAAGTGTTTGCATATGTTAATGACCTAATTTAAAGAGTTCTGTGAGTAAAAGCAGAGATGTGTGATAAAAGAAAATGTGCTTTCATCTTTGCTTCAGATGTTAGCTATGATTTTTTTTAGGTCAGTAAACAACAAAATGTGAACTACTAAGTTGTAAAATACCATAAAGGATGGTCACCAAACATCTCACAATATAAGTATAAAGTGCAAACAAAGTCAACTCTGGCATCGGCATCTAATAAAAGGTGATGCTTACTTACAGCCATGTCAGTAACTCCATGTCTCAGTAATAAATACAGCTAAAAATGAAAACCTAAGACCTCAAATGCACCTGCTAAATTATCAAGACAGCCTTGAACAAAATAGTACCCATGTTTACAAGTCCTGGGTTCAAGGGTCAGTTGTGCCACTGACTATCCCTGGGGCTAAGGGAAAATAAGTCTCATCTTCCTCAAATGTCAACCATGGGCATGAGCTCAAGCCTCCAAAGAATCCTTAAACACTTTTTACAAAATCCAATTCTAGACTGGGTGTGGTGGCTGACACTTGTAATCTCAGCTATTTGGGAGTCCAAGGCAGGAGGAGAGCTTGAGCCTAGGAGTTCACGACCAGCCTGGGAAACATGGCAAGACCCTATCTCTACAAAGATAAAAATAAAAATAAATTAGTTGAGGGTGGTGGCATGCATCTGTAGTCCCAGCTCCTTGGGAGACTGAGGTGGGAGGATCACTTGAGCCCAGGAGTTGGAGGCTGCTGTAAGCTATGACCCCACAACTGCACTCCAGCCTGCATCTTGGGAGACAGAGACAGGGTGACCCTGTCTCAGAAAAATCCAATTATATAATAAGTTTAACAGGATATATATTAAATTACTCTAATTATTTGACGATTACTAATTTAGGTATGGTGTGTGTGTGTGTGCGCATGTTTTATTAAACAGGTCAGCATACTACCACTTTCTCTGCGTGAATGTTTTATGCTCCCAACTAGAATGGAATTCCTCTAAACCAGGGAGATAGCTCCATGTCCAGCAATTCAGACAACATGCCTGACACAGCAGCTCTTCAGTTCAATTTTAAGTCATGTTTAAGGATGTTACATTGTACAATTAAAAAAAAAAACTGCTGTAAGACAGTATTCAGAAAAATGGAATTTCAGAAGGAAGATGGGATATATGCATACAATTAACAACAGTAAAGGGTGGAGGTAGTGTTTTTCCTCTTATGGTACAGGCATGATGGAGTGAAGGGAAGTTTGAGATGGGGTCCATTTACACCACGACTTTTGATTCACTCTTAAATAGTTTTAAACAGGCTACTTCTATGCTTAACAAATCTGCATTTATAATTGTGTACTTCAAATTACATTCTTCCTACAGTTCATAGTGGGTTTTTAAATCACAAAGAGTAGTTATCAGAGTTTGTGGCAAATCAGTCAAACTTATTCTCCATCTTTCTTGCCTTCCTGCAAGTTAAAATACCAGGTAACAAAACTAAAATTCCTTCAGGACTTTATCCAGAGGTTGTCTCTCCCTAGTGAGGCCTTCTTGGAACCCACCACCACCTGTACAATTTATTGATCCTTCAATTGCATTATTTTTCTGCTTAGCACTTGATAATAATCAAGGAAAACATGCATAATGTGTGATATGTTAGACCGTTTTAAGTGCAACATCCCCACTAGAATATACAATGCTTAATTTTAGGTGCTAACTTGACTGGATTAAGAGATACCCAGATAGGTGAAAAAGCATTATTTCTGGGTATGTTAGTGAGGGTGTTTCGGAAGAGACTGACATTTGAGTCAGTGGGCTAAGTAAGGAAGATTAATCTTCATCCAATGTGGGTGGGCACCATACACCTAGAGAGGGACCCAGATAGAACAAAAAGGCAGAAGGAAAGCAAATTCTCTCTCTCTCTCTCTCTCTCTCTCTCCCTCTCTCTGTCTGAGAGTCCTTTGGCCACAGACTGAGAGTTATACCATAGTCTCCCCTGGTTTTGAGGCTTTTGAACTTGAATTGACCCATGCTACCGGCATCCCTCCTTCTCCAGCTTACAGATGGACTCTCATAGAACTTAGCCTCCATTATCACATGAGCCAATCCCCCTAATTAATCTCCTCTCATACATCTATATCCATATCTATCTATGTCTCTGTGTGTGTGTGTGTGTGTGTGTGTGTGTGTGTGTGTGTGTGTGTGTGTGCATACATATCTCCACTGGTTCTGTCTCTCTGGAAACCCTGCCTAATACAGAATGTTACGAGGATAAAGATTTTTGCCTGTTTGGATCACTCTTTTAACTCAGTGCCTAGAATACTGTAGGAGTTCATCACGCGTTCATTATAACAGTATATACTATATATTGCATAATATATAATACATATTGTAATGAATACATGAATATTACAGATATTCCCTTTAAGCTCCTAACAACAAAGGCACATGAGAAAATAGAATGCACAAGGTAGACACAAAAATGTGCACAAAAAGATCCAAACATACCTACTCCAAGAGGAGTATGTGGTCGGGACAAGAGATAGAACCATGGATTTTGACGAGGCTGAGTTATAGCCTTGGCTCTGTTAGTAGTTCTGTGGACTTGGGCAAATTATTTCATTTCTCTAAATTTCAGTTCCCATGCCCACAAATCTGGAGCAGTAAGAGTACCTACCTCATAAGTTTAATGTGAGGCATGAATGAGCTCAAGTACATTAAACAACTTACAGAGTATCTAGCAGATAGCATGCTCTCAGTAAGTACTAGACGATAGTGGTGATGGTGCTAAGGAAGAGGAGAAGGTAGAGGAAGTAAAGATGATTGTGACTAGGAAGGACGATGGAAAAATAAGTCCAGCAGATTAAATTCCCAAACTCCTTCACTTCAGCCCCTCTACTTCCCTCCCAATTTCCAGCTCATGAATTCATACACGTACATTCCATAAAATAGCACTCTGACTTCGGATACTTGCAAGAAAGGATGGGTAATTTTTAAAAAATCGTTTGCTGGCCGGGCACGGTGGCTCATGCCTGTAATCCCAGCACTTCGGGAGGCTGAGGCAGGCGGATCACAAGGTCAGGAGATCCAGACCATCCTGGCTAACACGATGAAATCCCATCTCTACTAAAAATACAAAAAATTAGCCGGGCGTGGTGGCAGGCGCCTGTAGTCCCAGCTTCTCAGGAGGCTGAGGCAGGAGAATGGCATGAACCCGGGAGGCAGAGCTTGCAGTGAGCCGAGATCGCGCCACTGCACACCAGCCTGGGTGACAGAGTGAGATTCCGTCTCAGAAAAAAAAAAAATTGTTTGCCCATGTCAATCAAAGAACGCAAAGTGCTGCTACTTTTCCTCTTTGTAGTTCTAAGCAGTCCAGGTTCCAGAGACAGAGGGATCACAAAACCTTGATAAACCAGAACCCTTGGGAAATGTGTCATTTTGCACACTTCAGTTTTCCAAGTAGTTGAGCAGCCTGTCAGATGGTCATCATAATTTTATGGGCTTTGTTTTGTTTTTTTAATTTTCTATTTTTGATTTAAAAAATCTTTCCAAAGTGCATTACAATTCTCTTTCCAGGTCCAGTTTGTGCAACACCGAGATCTGCTCAGGCCAACCTGTACCACAGACACCTAAACATCGACTGTTCACCCTACTCCCTGATAAGAACTCTCTGTTCCTACCACAGAATAAGGAAGCCCCCCAATCCAGTACTCATTGATAAAAGACAGATAGTAATGTGAACACTGACCAGATGGTACCCACAGAAGTACTAGCTTCCCACTAGTACTTCCCAGAAGTTTTGTGACTTAATGGTCTATGTGGCAGATTTGACCAATAAAAGGCCAGAAATGGGCAGGAGGCAGCAGAGAAACTGCTTACCCTTCCTTCCAACTCCAGGTAAATGGTCCAAAATAGAGTGGTTCTCAGTGCCCTCTCTGGAGACAGGCAGAGCAACTGAAAACAGGCTGAGTATTGTTGTGAAGCTGTGACCAACTTAAAAACACACGAATTTATATGTGGTCTCCATTTCATCCCATATGACTTCTTTTTCCTCACTCTTGCTCCCCTGTGATTAGTAAAACATTAGCATGTACTGTAACTTTTCCTTTAGGTTCTGTTTTCTAGGGAACCTGGGCCTTGACAATGATCCCAACTTCATTACAATCATCACCTAGCTATTATGCTGCATGGGAATGAATGAAGTGATGAGAGCTCTTTGGGCTTAAAGCCTCCATTTGCGGGGCAGGGAGGGGTGTACAGAGTCCTGCTCTGTTGTCCAAGCTGGAGCACAGTGGCACGATCTCTGCTTACTGCAACCTCCACCTCCAGGGTTCAAGCAATTTTCCTGCCTCAGTCTCCTGAGTAGTTGGGATTACAGGTGTGCGCCACCACACTCGGCTGATTTTTGTATTTTTTAGTAGAGATGGTGTTTCACCATGTTGGCAAGGCTGGTCTCAAACTCCTGGACTCAAGTGATCCACCCGCCTCGCTTCCCAAAGTGCTGGGATTATAGGCATAAGCCACTACCTGGCCTGGGCTTACAGCCCCTAAGGAGGTACTTAGGGCTGTTTATCCTGAAAATGTCTGAAGTCCCAAGATTAAGCCTTCAGATTCTAGTTCTGACCTACCTCATTCAAATCTCAGCTCCACCACAAGCTGTGAAACCTTGGACAAGAAATTTAAAATCAAGCTTTTGTTTCTCATCCATAATATGTGGATAATCAGAGTACATACCCCATAGAATCCTTATGAAAAGAAAATATGTCAATACTTATTTAACACCTGGCACAGAAAAACACACAATGAGAGTTAGTGAACTCTTTCTCCTGCTGCCTGATTTACGGGGTTATTTCCCACTGCTGTAAGTATGACCATCTTTTGCAATATCTCCACTTCGCAATTTCTAAAATGCTATAGGATTACATATCAGGAAATCCATCTTATTAGAATTGTGTGCAAAGTGAAAGTAAGTAGGGACTGAATGAAAACCACAGAGTTAATGTATATTAGTGCAAACTCTGTAGAAAGCTCCCAATAGCCATTATTGCTTACATCCTGGTTCTTGAACATATTTTACCAAATTATGAAGTTCTAAATGAGCTAAAGTATCATTATCTATGTTTGAGTCATGCTGTATTCCTACAGAATACAGAATTTTGAGTTAGCATAATCACCCTTGAGCACCTACAGTATCTCAGTTGTGAAACACAAGAATTTAGTGACCATAAACCAAACTCAAACTCACTCCATTTCTGATGGTTTACCTTCTAGGATAAATATCAGTGTAGGATAAATTAGCAGTCAGATGAAAGAAAGAGTACATGTGATATTTTAGCATCTAAAGCAGTATTGTATAAAATGGTTATCCAATATTTAATAACTGTTTTTATTTCAAGGCTAATTCAGTTTAATCATTATTCCTTTATTAACCAAATATTCTATTAGAAGTATCCTCAAGGTGTAAGAAAGAAATACCTAACTCTACCCAGTATCGGGGAGAGATGTGTGATACGTATGAGGACAGAGGACCAACACGCATGAAGGAGACTAACCTTACTTTCCATCTTCACAGCCCCATTCACAACCTCGGATCTCATACTTGGATAGACCGAGTAAAGAATTTCCTTTCAAAGCCAACCTCAAAATAATGTTTCTTTTTAAGAATCATGGTGCTTTATCTAGGGTTTAGTCAATGAAATCAGAAACATCCCACCAAACCAATGGCCCACAGGGATGGAAATTATGGATTCTAAGATACGCTACTAATATAGAGATTATAAGTTAGATTATTTATAGTAAATTACAACAATAATGTGCATATTATGATTAATTGAAACTTCTTATAATTTAGGGAAATCCCTCAAGTTACACTTTTAGAATATGGAGAATGAGTCTGAGTGAAAGAACTCTGGGACAGTTATTAGCGCAGCTCTCAAAAGCCCTTTTAGTGTGCTTCCTGGATACTGGTATATTGTTACTCGTGATTTCCCAAAGATATTTTATGAGAAGGAGTAGGCCCAAGAAAAAATGCAATTCTTTCAACAGCCAACTGCTCCGAAAAAGCAGTGAGACCAAAGCTCCATACTTATTGAACTTGCAGTTTTTTTTGTTTGTTTTTTGTTTTGAGACAGAGTTTTGCTCTGTCACCAGGCTGGAGTGCAGTGGCGCAATCTCGGCTCACTGAAACCTTTGTCTCCCAGGTTCAAGCGATTCTCCTGCCTCAGCCTCCCGAGTAGCTGGGACTACAGGCGTGTGCTACCATACCTAGCTAATTTTTGTATTTTTAGTACAGATGGGTTTCACCATGTTGACCAGGATGGTCTCGATCTCTTGACCTCATGATCTGCCTGCCTTGACCTCATGATCTGCCCGCCTTGACCTACCAAGACCTTGCAGATTTCTTATTCTTCAAAGGCTGCTTTGGCTACAGAATTTCCAGGGCACCTCCTCCAGCGATACAGAGACACCAAAGAGCCAGATCCACTCACATACAAACTTGGTCTATGTCCTTTGCAACATTTGTCTGTTGGTTCAGTAACATACAAGAGAAGTGACAACCTAAAACCTGGTCTAACCAGGTTTCTTTGGCATCAACCTTAAAATCAGGACTAGACTTTGTGGCCTGGCCCAGCTCAAACACTTCCTGCAATAACATTAAAGACTTCTTTCAGAAAAATGTTCATTTACCAGTAATGCTGGGCAGATGCAGATTTAACATGAAGCTATTAAAGCCAACACTTCCAAGCCCCAGGGAGGATCCTAACAATGATTCACATTGTCCTACATTTTTATAAATTTTGCAAAATATATTTTAACCGCATCAGTTCAAAATTTCTATTCTCTTTCCCCTTGATTACATTTTACATCACATTAGGTGAAGTGGTTGCAGCCAGTATAGAGATCTGTCTAAAAGAGAATTAAGTTGAGGATACATTTAGTTTTCATTTAGTGGGATTATTTATATGACTCATCTTCAATTCCATACATATATATACACATACACACATACTGGAATGGCTAACAACAGTATATATATATGTGTGTATATATATATGTGTATATATATATGTGTGTGTGTATATATATGTGTATATGTGTGTATATATATATGTGTATGTGTGTATATATATATATATGTATACACACAAACATACTGTTGTTAGCCATTCCAGTGTAGAAATGGCTTCCAAAACCACTCCCACTATCCATTGCACTGAGACACCCAGCATTTTAGCATGGAATTAAGACAAAAACTGGTACCACCATATGAATATAACCTGAGGTGGGTGGCACTAGAATTACAGCAGTTTTGGAGGAGAAATTAGGCTAAAATGAACAGAGCCAGAAGCTACTCTGTGGAAAACTACCAAATGATTAGACATGTAAACTTGTCACTAGAAGATGTGGTTCTTGCATACAGAGACAAAATGAAAGTTCTCTCCTGGATGATGCAGCATACAAGTTAAAAATGCACTGTAAGTTTTTTCTTTTGTTGACAAAACTCACAGACACAGAAATTACTAGTTTTTTTGTTGTTGTTCTTTATGGAACACAGACTTGCAGCAGTATTATTAATAGCAAGAGTATCTGTAAAAGTTTATATGAAAAAGAAACTTGATAGAAGTTTTTCCAAATTTTACACAATGTTAAAAATTGGCATGTCATTAAAAATAACAAGTTGTGACTTTGGAGAAATGGTTCTAAACTCTCAATAATAAAAAACACAAATTTCAGTCAACCACACTGGAGAAAAATTAAATAATCTTTCTTATTTTCTATGGCAATGATTACAAAATTGTTATCCTAGGGAAAGGCAATCAAGCAAAATTTCAACCCAAAAATGTAAGAAAAAAAACATTAGAGAGGTGTGTCAGACATTTAAAAAAATACTATGTTATTCTTCTGAGTTTTGTGGTATCTGTCATATTTGTTGACTTTCAAACTTTTAAGTTGCTGTGATTGTTTTCCTTGTTCTAAACAAACACAATTTTGTTCTTCTAACTTATTCTTTTTCTCAAAGCAGGCATTCGCAATAGTATGAACTTCAAGCCCCACAAAACTGGGATTCATTTCTGGGATTAGGCATTCCTTGACAATTAACCCTTGCTTAGATAGCATTATCAACTCACCTCAGTGCTCTAGTTATCCTTCATACTGTTATGTCTCCAATTGGAATTTGTAAAACTCATCCCACAATGCCGAAGGATGGGCCTAAGGCCACAGGGAACATGATGAATGATCAGTAGAAGACACTCATTTATGTTGTACCACATGGTGTACAATTAGATTACATGCTTTTCTGTCTCTACTATCAGTTTTTTTTTGTTGTTGTTTTTTTGGAGGCAAGGTCTCACTCTGTCATCCAAGCTGGATTGTAGTGGCATGATCATAGCTCACTGCTGCCTCAATTTCCCAGGCTTAAGTGAACTTCCCATGTTAGCCCTCCCCTGCCCCACTAGCTGGGACTGCAGGTGAGTGTGCCACCATGCCCACCTTATTTATTTATTTTATTTATTTTTTAATTAATTTATTTATTTTTAGACAGAGGGTCTCACTATATTGCCCAGGTCGATCTTGAATGCCTGGGCTCAAGCAGTCTTCCTGTTTTGGCCTCCCAAAGTGCTGGGATTACAGGTGTGCACCACCATGCCCAGCCTCTACTACCAGTTCTTCATTTAATCATCTGTACCAGTTGGCACCACATGCCCAGACAGCCACCATGGCTGCCTACAAGCTGGTGCTGATCCACCACAGAGAGAGCATGTGGAACCTGGAGAACTGCTTCAGTGGGTGGTACAATGCCAACCTGAGCCCAGCAGGCCACGAGAAGGCAAAGTGCTACAGGCAGGCACTGGGAGACGCTGGCTCTGAATTTGACACCTGCTTCACCTCAGTGCAGAAGAGAGTGATCTGGACCGTCCGGACAGTGCTAGATGTTATTGATCAGATGTGGCTGCCAGTAATGAGGACTTGACACCTCAATAAGGGCACTATGGGTGTCTGACCAGAGTCAATAAAGCAGAAACTGCTGCAAAGCATGGCGAGGCCCAGGTAAAGATCTGGAGGTGCACCTGTGATGTCCCACCACCTCTAATGAAGCCCAACCATCCTTTCTACAGCAACATCAGTAAGGATGGCAGGTATGCAGACCTCACTGAAGATCAGCTACCTTCCTGTGAGCATCTGAAGGACACTACCACCAGAGCTCTACTCTTTTGGAATGAAGAAATAGCTCCCCAGATCAAGGAGGGGAAATGAGTACTGATTGCAGCCCATGGAAACAGCCTTCCAACCATTGTCAAGCATGTGGAAGGTCTCTGAAGAGGCTATCATGGAGCTGAACCTGTCAACTGGTTATTCCCATTGTCTATGAATTGGACAAGGACTTGAAGCCCATCAGGCGCATGCAGTTCTTGGGGGATGATCGGTAAAGCCATGGAAGCTGCGGCTGCCGAGGGTAAGGCCAAGAAGTGAGGGCTGGCGGGCAAGCTACTGTCCCCAGGAGCACCCTCCCTGTCTGTCACATCCCCCTGTGCACCTCCCTCCTGGACATGTCACACTGACCACATCTGTAAGCATCTTAAGTTGTAACTGCAGATGGGGATCAGTGGCTCCCATTTTCATTTTAGCCATTTTGTCTCCTGTAGCCTCTCTCTTTACAACCTAGTCAGAATAATGCTTCTAGGGCACAGGTTCTCAGTCCAAGCTGAGAAAAAGCTCTCCTTGTCCAAGAGAGTCGAAAGGTAGTGACTTGGGTTTTTGCCAGTGCTTTGTTTACTAAGGACTTGTGGGGAGGAACCATGCTAAGCCATGACCAATAAGGAGACGCAAGAGAGCCGATCTGCTCCTAGAGCCAGTCCTGTGCTTTTCAGAGTCAGGCCATTGCCTGGGAGCTCTAGTCACTCCAGTGGAAGATGAATGCAACCTGCATGGTGATGTGACAAACAACTCCTTCCTCCCTCACCCCAGAGAGCTGGCTCTAGCAGGTTGAGATCAATCCTGACTTTAGTGTATGTGTTACATTTACTTTTATAGAAGTATAGTGTATATAAATAATCCAAAACACTAACCTTTCTGGGGTTTCTCATGGCAGTTGAAATAGCCCCACATGTGGTCATCAGAAAATAAGCCATTCTTCACACCAATATGGGATAAGCTCCTTGACCTATGAGGGGTAGGAGTGCCTCCTGCTGTGTATTTTAGAATCTCTCCCCCACCTTGTTTCAAGGCAGTGAAATGCCTCTTGGTCCTGTCCAAGTGTGTCTTTCACTGACTGACTTCTGAATCATATTCTAGTTGCTTGGCCCTGCCACACAGGCCCAGTGTTCATTTGAGCATAACTGTACTAAATCCTTTTTCCAGATCAGTATAATAAAGGAATGATATGCAATTAAAAATCATCTATACATCCTCTTCAGTGCAAAGCTCCATAACAACAGAGAACAGGTGCATGATAAATGTGGAAATGAGAGAAGGAAGAAGTAGAGGTCAAGAAAAAGGAAAAAGGAAGGAGGAAAGGAAGAGAGGCAGGCTTTTAAGGAAGCAAGTGGAAGAAAAAATCATAAAAATGATTTAAACTCTGTTTTACACATCTTGAAGGTAACTACAAAGTCTGTTTTTTTACCATTTGCCATATCTTTTAGGGTATGTGTGTGTACCTCAAACTTTTATCTTAATTCATTTTTTATTTGTTTGTTTTTCATACAGGGTCTCACTCTGTCACCCAAGCTGGAGTGCAATCATGCAAACATGGCTCACTGCACCCTCAACCTCCTAGGCACAAGTGATCCTCCCACCTCAGCCTCCCATGTAGCTGGGACCACAGGTGCATGCCACCATGCCCAGCTAAATTTTTTATTTTTATATTTTGTTGGTAGAGATGGGATCTTACTTTGTTGCCCAGGCTAGTCATGAACTCCTGGAATCAAGCAATCCTCCTGCCTTGGCCTCCCAAAGAGCTAGGATTATAGGCATGAGCTGCTGTGCTTGGCCTTTTATTTTAATTCTTTCAACTTTTAATCACTTTCAGTTCAAGACATTTCATATTCAATCTGTTATCTTACTCAGTATTATTCTCACCAGTATACTGCTTTTTAAAACCAACTAGAATATTAACTATGTTATGCAAATGAAAATCTGTGAATTTAATCACAAAGAGTGGCCCAGAGGAGCCACTAAGTCCTACAACATCCAATGGGAAAATTTTGAGAGTCCTATTATATTCAATAACTTGTATACCAATGCCCAGAATTTAATATAAATTGAACTGAATCCTACACACAACTCTTTGTAGATTCTGTCTGTCGATAAGACATGCTTTCATAAAAACTGGCAAGTGAAAAATACAGACTACAGCCCATTTTAATTTTCATTTCATTTTCTTTTCAACGAAACATTGTGAATGTAGTGGCATCACATAAATATTTATCAAACTCTATAATTCTTCCAACTGTAATGATAAATAAAAGTATCTTTCAATGCGCGTACAAAACACTAGCAGAAAACTATTCTTAGAAGACTGAAATGAGATGCAAGCTATCTGAAGTCATGAAGGGCAATAAATTTATCCCACTGCCTTCTGGAGAGTCACAAATATATGAAGCAATCATCTCGTAGTTTTGGTAATCTATGCTTACTAGGCTTCTGAAATTTCACTGTTTGATAATTGAAGAAATAAAAATAACACAGCATCACTTGGCACTGGAGAAATGAGGACCCTGACCTGATGGGCCGGTAAGCCATTGAAAATGTCTATTATTAAATATAAAAGGAAGATTGCATACAGAGAAAAGACCACACAAGTTTCCAGGTTGTAGGTTTGCCAACCTATTTGGATTACCTCTTTATGACTGTCATTATTTTTATCATTTACTAGTTATACAGAGACAATAGCAGCTCAAGCCTGATACACAATGAAGACATAATTACAGATTTGAACCAACAGTCCTCTATTAAAACCTAAATTGCCCTCAGCCCACAGTTAAAAAAAGGTCAAGAAGAAGACACCTGCTGAAAAGAGTAATAAAAACATGCTGTTTATTATTTTCCAGAAGCTTCTAATCCTTTCTCCCACCTGGCTTACATGACAACTACAAAGTTCATCAGAATGTTGTGGAGTGTTCAGGACTCCTCAGGGAAACATTATTTTTTTTCTCTCAAATAATTATGGTCAAAAAGTCTAGAGCCAAGAAAAGTTTCTGCTGTCACTTGATCATAACTTCATTTCTCTCCCTTGCTTGCTCAGGTCTCATGGGGAAAATTTAAGGGCAAGCCTGGGCCAAAATGCAACAAGCCTCTTTTGATTTAGATGGGCGAGAGTAAAAATATCATCTCAAAAAAAGAATGAGGACAGGGATGCCATTTAGTCTGGATTTGTCATGAATTAAACCAAAGCCACCAAATAACATCTGTCTTATTCCTCAACATGTCAAAGAGAAGTTGCCAGGCAAGTTTGGGAAAAAGAAGTTGGAAAGATTAACAACCAGCTATAAGATAAAATATGATTTCTGGTGCTTCTGAATATGAGACAAAGGAAGTTTATATTATATTACATTATGCAAGAGATATGCTACTATAGGAATTAATCACCCTTTTAAATATCTGGGCTGAAGCTAATGGTTTCTTCAATGACAAAGAGCTCCTCATTTTTTCAAACAATACAGCTCTTCCATTTCTTGGTTTTCACTCACCCACTCTTGACTATGATGATTAGAGGCTTTGGACAAAGAATATTAGACTCAGCACTGGCAGCTAGTGAACAGTTCTTCAATTGAACTAAATAAATAAAAGCTACTCAATTGTTTGCCTTTATTCTTTCCTTGGCCACCAGCTGAAATAAATCCTTCTCCCTCTAGAAGATCAAAGTACAGCATCACAATGTTTGAGAGCTTGAAAGATCCTGGTACCCTACCATCGGCCAAACCCCTCTTTTTTCTGTCTGAGGACACAGGTTCTTTAGCAAAACAAAAGTTGTTCTTTTATGGTAGAAAAGATGTGGAGAGCATAAGTTAGATGGGAAGATACAGTCCTCTGGTTTCACTTTCTTACCTTGTTAAAAAAGCATTGGATAATTATTATCTCTCTACTGTTGGTACTGAAATGTACCAACACATCAAAGCAGTATTACAGAAACTGCAGTAGAGATTGCTAGAAAATATCAGTATTCAAAATATTTTAAAACTTAAAATCTGTTTTAGAAATATTTAAATAAGAAAAATATTTTATCAGTCAAGGTCCTGGCAGAAAACAGATGGCACACTCAAACTGGGTAATGAGGAACATTTAATAAATAGACTATTTACAAAGGAGTGGGCAGAGTTTAAAGAAGTAAAACAAAACAAAACAAAAATAGTGTCGTAATCTAGGGCTAGTAACAGCAAGGAACTGTTCCACCCATCTGTGGAGGGATGCATCCAGCCCACAGTAACCAGTGTAGAAAGAGTCAAAGGGATGAATATCCTGACCTGGCTCTCCTTCTTTCTTAGGTTCCCATTGGTGGAACCAAGAGATGTCAGACAGCAAAAGAGCCCACTGGCCAAAAAGCCTCTGGGCACAGAGCAGAAAGAAGAGTGAGAATGGATCAGAGAGGCAAATGGGAGAGAGTTAGCCCAACTCTGAACACGATTATAAAGTTATACTTATTTATTATTGGAATAATCTGTTCACAATATATAGAAATTAGCTTGACAGTAATTAATGTGTCTCAAATACCTTTTCGGTTTGTCTATCTGAATTCAAAGTGTACATTAGGTCTCCTAAGTCTCTGCTAGGTCTATCAAAACATTTGGAATAAAGAGCATTCTGTGCTCAGATATGCTGGAGAAATGTTTCAAGAGCCTCAGTGCAAAGAAAGGTAAATGTAAATGCATAGGCACGGGCCTGTGAGTCTTTCCTCATAACACCAGATATAGAAAAAAAAGAAAATAACTGTCCATACCTCCTGGGATGACTGAATGAGACCATCTGTTTAAAGCAGTGTGCACAGAACTTGGCACACAAACAGATGGTGCTCAGTAGATGTTAACCACTGCTGCCACTGTTACCAGCATCATCTCTTGCATCTGCATTCTGACCTGTCAGATACCCATTTCTTACACTTCTGCCTGTTTGTGTCACTAGTGCCTGGTGCAGTGCCTTACACATAGGCAGTGCTCGATTAATGTAAGCTTATGAAGACAATTGTGAGAGCTGTCACGTGCTATGTCATGCTATTCTATTGTTCAGTAATTATTCACTCCTCTCTCCCTTTCCCCTGTTGGAGGAGTGTCATAGTCAGTTTAAGTTGCTATAAAAAAAAAAACCTTACAACCTTACACTGGGTAATTTGTAAGCAACAGAAATATATTGCTCACAGTTCTAGAAGCTGGGAAGTCCAACATCAAGGTGCCAGCAGTGTTTGGAGAGGGCTTGCTCCTCACAGATGCTGCCTGCTAGGTGTCCTCATATGGCAGAAGAGCAGGGGAGCTAGCTGGAGCCTGTTTTATCAGGGCATTAATCCCATTCACGAGGGTGGAATCTTCGTGATTCAATCCCTTCCCAAAAGCCCCACCTCTTAACACTATACATTTGTTATTAGGTTCTAACATGAGCTATGAGGGGTGGGGGAGGGGTGCACAAACATTTAGGACATAACAAGGAATATTCTTTTCTGCTCCACAGTGCTGAGTTTGGCCCCATGACCTGCTTTGGCCAATGGAAAGTGAGCCAGTTTTGAATAGATACTTTAAGAGGCACTGCAAGTTTGCACCAGCCCTCTTGAGCTCCTGCCTCTCACTTTGAGAACATCATATCCCAGATAGTGAGTACTCCTTCAGCCTGGGTTCTGGAATGAAAAGACATGTGGATCAGATCCTAAGTCAATCCAGTCTGCCACAGTGCTGTTTCAGCTGTTCCCCCAGAGTCTGGGGCAAGAAAAAAATATTTCCATAAGCCAGTGAAGTTTCACAATTGTTTGTTATATAGCAATAACCCAGAAAAATCTGACAAATACATATGTGTAACAAGGTTATGATGGCATGCTGGACTGGAAAAGAAGGACAATAACATGAAATTTTGAGTCCATTACACTAGAGTTCAAATCTCAGCTCTGAACAGCTACCAGATGTGTGACCCTGTCTGGGCAAGCCTCAGTGATCCCTACCTTGTTGCATTACTGTGACAATTACAAATAGTACCTAAAATGTACCTTGCACAGTGCCTGGCACATAATAGGTACTTGATAACTGGAAGAAATAATCCAATTAGTAATAAAGGATGGCAAAATATCTTCCCAATTATCCATGATTAAAGTGCCAATTGGAAATTTTTCATCTCAATTAAATATTTCTTTAATTAACCAGATAAATAGAAAGGGTGAAACCATTGATCAAGTTTGTACCTTCCAAAATATTTATAGAAAATTACATTTTGAGATATATACTGTGCTCTTTCTAAAATGGTGTAAAACCTCTGAGTAGTCAAAAATATGAATCCCTGTTGTGTCAAAGAATAAGAATGCATTCTTTGTGAAGGAAAAATACGATTAAATTGCATCTTCCAGACTAGTGATTTAAATTGTGATCAAATCCACTATAGTTGGGGAGGCCCCCATTTAATCCATTTACTGTGAACATTATTAAACATATATTAAATGCTTGTGCATAGCAAAGAATTTCAAAGGTATGGTTTGATTCGCAGAGCTCTAAGAAAGTCAAGAACATTCTCTTTGAAGCAATTGTGAATGGGAGTTCACTCATGATTTGGCTCTCTGTTTGTCTGTTGCTGGTGTATAAGAATGCTTGTGATTTTTGTACATTGATTTTGTATCCTGAGACTTTGCTGAAGTTGCTTATCAGCTTAAGGAGATTTTGGGCTGAGACGATGGGGTTTACACTGTTGGTGGGACTGTAAACTAGTTCAACCATTGTGGAAGTCAGTGTAGCGATTCCTCAGGGATCTAGAACTAGAAATACCATTTGACCCAGCCATCCCATTACTGGGTATATACCCAAAGGACTATAAATCATGCTGCTATAAAGACACATGCACACGTATGTTTATTGCGGCATTATTCACAATAGCAAAGACTTGGAACCAACCCAAATGTCCAACAATGATAGACTGGATTAAGAAAATGTGGCACATATACACCATGGAATACTATGCAGCCATAAAAAATGACGAGTTCATGTCCTTTGTAGGGACATGGATGAAATTGGAAATCATCATTCTCAGTAAACTATCGCAAGAACAAAAAACCAAACACCGCATATTCTCACTCATAGGTGGGAATTGAACAATGAGATCACATGGACACATGAAGGGGAATATCACACTCTGGGGACTGTGGTGGGGTGGGGGGAGCGGGGAGGGATAGCATTGGGAGATATACCTAAGGCTAGATGACGAGTTAGTGGGTGCAGCGCACCAGCATGGCACATGTATACATATGTAACTAACCTGCACAATGTGCACATGTACCCTAAAACTTAAAGTATAATAATAAAAAAAAAGAAAGTCAAGAACATAAAACTACTAAATGTATCAACTAATCCCAGCATACACACTTCCACAAAACATTAAGCACTACAATTACTGAAGCATAGAAATAGATTTTTATCCATTCGGAAGGCATTCAGAAAAATATCACCACTAATAAATAATAAAAGATTATTTGAATTGTAAAATTTGACTAGAAAAGAAATTTATCTAAGACATGAGCTCAAGTATCTGCCTTTTAAAAAACTAAGAAAAAATATTTTACAGAAAAGATATATATAATCTGGTAGCCACTGTCTGAGGAGCTCAAGTAAATTTAGGGTAGTGTTTGCAAACCACATGAGGAGGAAATGCTTGAAAAGCCTAAATGAAGATTCCCGGGCTCCCACTCCAGACCTACTGAATGACGATAATTGGGAATTTGGCCTGGGAATCTGCATTTGTTAACAAACCCTGTAGATGACTCATGTGTACTCTAAGTTTGAGAGCTGCTAACCAATGCAAACACTTGGGTAATCTTTGTCAGCCAACTTAAAGGTTTTAAAAGACTTAAATCCAAGCAAGTCTAGGCCATTCTATGCCCACAGGTTAAATAAAGACAACAGAGTCTAGACCTGAGACTCAGTAATGGCTACAGGGCTAAACAGCTTTTCATTCTGCTGGCAACTCAAACCATATTTTTTTTAGCACTTGGAAGCAAAAAATTGATGGATCATTCAACAGTAGTAAAAATTCAGTGGCACCAAGGTGACACCTTCTCTTATTGAACATACAATTGCCAAACTTCTCTTCAGTGTTAGCACCACCTGGAAACAAATCCAGATGGTCACTCCTCATCAGCTCCTTGGGCTTAGATTCTAAAATCTACAAGTGCTGAGAGGAGAGAAAGAAAGATGGTTAAGATTGTATGGACACTCTAGTCTTCTTAAAAAAAATCTCAACAAGCCCAAACCTTTTTTCCTGTAATACAGAGAAAAAACCCAGTTGTGTTTTCTAAGAGAAGGGAACAGAATGAAATAATAAAGGAGGAAAGACATTGCTACTATAATTTTAAAACTATGAAAAAACATCAGAAACATGAAAGAATTGAAAGGAAAGGGCAATGGATTAGGATTGAGGAGATGTGGGTTCAAGATACAGCTTATATCCTTTAAAGCCTATGTGACCTTATAAACTCACTTAGCTACTCTTCAACTCAAAGGAGTTAATGTTTATAGGAAAGAGGTTTTTAAGTCACAAAGCAATGTCAAAATGTAAGTGGCATTAGTATCATTGATGACAAAAGTTTTTATTTTTATTTTTAATTATTATTTTTTTAAGACAGCGTGTCACTCTGTCACCCAGGCTAGAGTGCAGTGGTGTGGTCACCACTCACTGCAGACTTGACCTCCTGGGTTCAAGTGATCCTCCTTCCTGCCTCAGCTTCCTGAGTCACTGTGACTACAGGCGTGCACCACCACACCCAGATAATTTTCTGTATTTTTTTTTTTTTTTTAGGAATTCCACCATACTGACCAAGCTAGTCTGGGACTCCTGAGCTCAAGAGATACACTTGCCTTGGCCTCCCAAAGTGCTAGAATTACAGGCATAGGCTACCATGACTGACCAATAAAAGTTTTTTTAATATATATATAATTCAGAATACAATGGAGCAAATGCAGATACGTATCTTTTCTAAATAACACCCAAGGTAGAAACACTGTAGCAAGTTACCTGTGGGAAAATCTAGGCCACTAATACCAAATTGTTCCAACTTTTCACTGTATCAGGTAAACCAAAATGCAACTTCCTGATTTTAAAAAAAAAAGAAAAAAACCTCAGTATGGCTTGATGTAGTCATCTGTATAGCAGTGGTGAATGATTCAGCTCATACTTTTCCTATGACCTACCTATCCACATTTACCTGAGTCTCAAAGCTAAGTTCATCACTGGAGAGCCATATAAACAATGGGGCTATAAAGAAAACAGGAAGGTTAATCAATGACCAGCACCATTAGTCAATAAGTCCAGGGTTGCAAGGATTTTGAAACCTGTTTAATACTTTATTGACTTACAGATTTTAGCTCAACACCAAATTTCAGTGTAGTTGGGTACATGCAGGGAAATTCCAACTTATCTTTAGATGTGTGAGAGCAAGGTATACTGCAGTTACACAAAGCTAAGTTTGAAAATAGGCTCCACATTCTATGTCTTCTCTGAACCTCAGTTCATGAGTTGGTAATTATCAGCCCCAGCTCATGGTGCTGTTGGAAGAATTAAATAAGATCTGTCTATAAAACCCTCTGTACAGTGTCTGGCACATTGTAAGTACTCGATGAACTCATTGTTATTAGTAGTAAAGTATTAGTACAGAGTAGGCACTCAGTAAAGGCTAGTTCCCCTCTTTTATCATTTTGTGCTTAAAAGGCAGAAATATATTCCAACTAAATTATAAGGAATACATAATAACATACAGTATGTGGCAAAGTCAGGGGTGAAATTTCCTAATATAGACTTTTTAATCTACTATAGCCACGGAGACCAATTTTATAATTTACACTGGCCATAATTAGAGCCTATGTATACAAAAGTTATAGTTTAAACTTGAGATGGTACATGTAGCTTTCTTGCTACCTAATATTTAATATAGTTTCTTAAATCATTTTTTCTGGTATTGTGGATATACAGTTAGTATGTCTATAGTGATACCTTCCTACCACCTGTTCTAATCATCATCATCATCACTGGGACTGTTATGAACTGAATGTATGTGTCCCCTACAAATTCATACTCTGAAGCCCTAACCCCCTATGTGATGCTATATAGAGATAGAGTCTTTGGGAGGAAGTTAGGTTTTGATGAGGTCATGAGGGTACAGCCTTAATGATGGCATTAGTGCCCTTACGGGAAGAAAAGCACCAAAGCCTGCTCTCTTTGCCATGTGACATGGAAAGAAGTTGGTAGTTGGCAAGCCCAGAAGAAGGCCTTCATCTTGACTGTGCTGGTGCCCTGATCTTGGACTTCCAGCCTCCCGAACTATGAGAAATAAATGTCTGTTGTTTAAACTACCTAGTCTGTGGTATTTTGCTATAGCAGCTTGAGCTGACTAAGGGGAAAAAAGCACTCTACAAATATTGTGGACAAGTATCTAATGTATGTAAATGTGCTCTGAAAATGGTAAGGTGCTAATATTACCATTTAAACAAGACAGGGAAGACACAGGCCCTCACTTGAGATGTCTACAATCTAAAATCTAGAAAAATGCACAGTGCTAACAAAGGAACAGAAACACACACATACACAAAGAGATGCATGTGTCCAGGCACATGAACATTTTAAAGACAAATAGCGACAATAACAAGTATTTTAAAAAACCTGTATCTGTATCTATGAATGAATAATTTAAAAAGTAAGTCAGAAGCGATGAAAATACTGGAACAATGTTGCCCCATATTTTTTAATGTTTTGTAAATATCTCCTTACAAATAAATTCTTAAAATCAATTTTTATAAATAAAATTCATAGCAAGACTCATTTATTCCATTAAGAAAACATTTGTAGAAGCACACCTCCTTATATTAATGGAGCTACAGAGTGCAAATGCCCATCATTCAAGGACCAGATGAACCCATGAAAGATAAAAGACCAAGCAACTAATGCAATATCACTTCTGCAAAGCCTTACTGTAAAGGGAAAGATTCCTATATAAGATCCATTTGAAAATCCATTTCACACTTCTAACTTAAAGCCAATTCAAATGTAATTTACTTTATCAGAGTCCTTCATTTAGAGAGGGTCAGGAGTACAATCAACAGAAGTGACAATTACTTAGGCTTATCAAAAGATGACCTGGTAGCAATAGTGCTGAGCAAGAAAATAACAAAACAAAACAAACCAGGACTCCCACTGGAAACCACAGCTGTTAGTTTATAAACAGATCTTCTAACAAACCAGAACATCCTAAGAAAAAGCATCTATGTGCGTCGTCTCTGCACCAAATGCAACCTCATTTGTCATTCTATTTTAGTGTCCTAACATCCCTTTACTTTTCCACTGTTGACCATTTAAAAGAGGTGAAACAACACTCTTGGCACAAAATATTACACTTACCACTCTCGTCGTCTATACTGAACCTTCCAAGACCACTGCCATCCCTGATGGAGTACTGGATCTCTCCATCCCTTCCGGAGTCTTCATCTCGAGCAGTCACCTGCAGCACGCTTGTTCCAATGCGTGAGTTTTCCTTTACAGATCCAACAACAGCAAAGTCTGGGAAATAGGGAGTGTGGAGGTTTTCATTGACATCCACCACTTCCACCTCAACAAAGGAAACAGATGACAGAGAGACAGGCCGCCCTTTGTCTTTGGCCCGCACAGTAAGGTTATAGAACTGCTGTTTCTCATAATCAAGCTCTTTGCTCAAGCGGATGGCACCACTTGCTTTATCTATTTCAAATCTCCCATTATAGTCATTGACCAAAGAATAGCGCACTTGACCCCCCAGTCCAAGATCTGGATCATGGGTCTCAAGCCAAGCAATGACAGTGCCAACAGGGAGATCTTCAAGAACCTTCACACTATAGCTACTGGGAATGAAAGCTGGGGAGCAGTCATTGACATCATCTAAAAAAACTTTAAGAGTGACAACTGAAAACAGCTGCTGACCACTCTCTGCCTTGTCCCTGGCTTCTATTTTCAAAGAATAATTGGCTTTGGATTCCCGGTCCAACTGGTCGGCTACATAAACGATTCCAGTTGAGCTATTGATGGCAAACTGCTGTGTATCTGTCAAGACTGAGTAAGTCACTTCACCATTAGAACCTAAGTCTTTGTCTCTGGCTTCCACTTGAATGATTTCAGTACCAATGCCTGAACTTTCAAGAATGTTAACTGAGTAACTGTCTTGAATAAAAACTGGGCTATTGTCATTAGCATCCTCCACATTGATGGTCAGCAGTCTCCATGACGATTTCTGTGGATTACCTAAGTCATAGATGGTGATATTAAGGAGATAGAGGTCTGTGTGTTCTCGATCCATGGGCATAAGGACTTTAAGCTGCCCAGTCTCCATATCAATATTAAAGCAACTATCCGTATTTCCATCTGATATTGTAAATAGCACTTTTCCATTGAAGCCAGAGTCGGCATCATAGGCTTTAATCTTCAGAATGTTAGCACCAACTGGCAGATCCTCCTTTACAGCCACATCAGAAGGAAAAGACTTGTCAAAATATGGTCCCTGTCTATTAATTGAATAAAAGTCAAGAAATCCATCTTCCAGATTCAGTTTCCCATTTGCTTTTGCCTTAATGAGTAGTTTCTCTGCCAGCTTTTGAGCCACACGAGTTTCTCTGCAACTGAAGCTCTTTGAAGACACTTTCCCATGTAGGACTGAAATGTTAATAGACATGGGGTCTGCAAGATTCTCTCCATCAGTTGCTGTAATTCTGAGGGCAAAATTGCCATTTTTAATGCCAGAATTTGTCAGTGATTTTTTAAGCTGTAAAACACCAGAATCTGGGTTTAAATAAAAGAAGCCAAGTTCATTTCCAGAAATGATTTTGTACTTTACAAGTTCAAGTTCATCGATATCGATCGCTGAGACTGCTGTGATGTGACCACCAACTGGAAAGTCATATGAAATAACTCCCTGGCAAGCCACTTTTTCAAAGAGAGGGCTGTTGTCGTTGACATTTCCTATTCGAATAGTCACATTGACCTCACTTTCATGGCGGTATGGTGAACCCCAGTCAGAGGCTCTAACAATGAATCTGTAAATTTCTGGGGAGGATTCAAAATCCAGTTCTTCAGTTGTGCTAATAACACCTGTAAACTGATTAATGACAAATGGTAACAAATTCAGGCTAGCGATACTATAGGTGATGTACCCATTTTCTCCTTTATCCTTATCAGAAGCTGAAACTGTTAGAACGCTGGTTCCCACTGGGACACTTTCATTCACATAAGCATCATACAGTGGTTGCTGAAATTCTGGGGTGTGGTCATTTGCATCTTCTATGCTGATGGTGACCTGTGCTTTTAAATCTCCTTCCTTGTTTGTCACCTCCAGTTTATAAACCTCCTTCTTAACAGTATTCAGTGGCCGTGCTGTAACAATCAGACCCGACCGAGGATTAATTTTAAAGTACACTGCATCCTCACCAGGAGATAATTTGTATTCCACATCTATCGGTTCAGGACTTAATTTTACTATAGCAAC
Source organism: Homo sapiens (assembly GCF_000001405.40). Classification (NCBI taxonomy): domain Eukaryota; kingdom Metazoa; phylum Chordata; class Mammalia; order Primates; family Hominidae; genus Homo; species Homo sapiens. The sequence continues at coordinate 125,060 of NW_013171808.1, read as the reverse complement.
CACGACACCAGGAGGGGAAAATTCACTTATGCTCACATCGTACACTTCTTTTTCAAATCTAATGGGGACAGTGTCTCTTGTGGGGTTGCCAATGTAGACTGCCTTTAATGCTGAACATTTTTGAGGAGATCCCTTGTCTTTTGCTTGAAGAGTGAGATTGTAGCCATAGGGAAAGCTCTCCCAGTCAATCTGCTTCCTCTCCTTAATCTTGTACTCATTCAACCACTTTCCTTCCTTAGCCAGGAAGAACTGATCTAAAGGATCCCCAGCCACAATGGAAACAGATTCGATCTCTCCATTCGCTCCATCATCTAAGTCATCAACTGTCACCACTGCATATGTTGGCTCTTTTTCCAACGAGAAAGGAACATGAGTGACTACATGGATTGTTGGGGCATGTTCATTTATGCGCTCAATGTGAACATAAAGCTTTGCAGTACTGCTCACTCCATTGTTCCCATACAGTTTCATTCCCCGGTCCACAGCCAAAATTTCCAGATCATACCTATTCTTTTCATCATAATTTAATCGACCACTTAAGGAGATGACACCACTCGTGGGGTGAACTGAAAAGAGATCAACTTTATTTTTAAAGTAGTAGTAGAATTCTCCATTGGAACCAATATCTGCGTCTGTTGCAGTCACCTGGGCAACACTAGTCCTTAGAGGTGTGCTTTCTGCTATGGTAACAGAGTATGTTGTGGGTGAAAACAAAGGTCTCAGATCATTCATATCTAAAACCTGTATATTCACTTTGGTCCATGCTTCCAAATCCTCTCCTCTGACAGAACCTTTTACTATCAATAAATAATTATCCTGGATTTCCCTATTTAATATGGCAGAATTGCCACCTTTAGTTCTTATTCTGAGAAAACAGAAATCTGCAATGATGACTTCCTCTGCTTTGAAAAAGCCTTCCTCGTCTCCGGACACTATTCTGTATTTGATATCCCAGGATAGATCTATTAAGGTGATGCCCATTCTACTCTGGCTGTTGACGTAGGTCCTTGCTGCTGAGTTCTCATACACGGTAGCATTATAAATGGAATGTGTGAAGTGGAAGCCCAGGGGTCCAGTCCCTGGCAGCCCCTGGGAGACAGTGGCCAAAAGCTTGAAAAGCAGGAGGATGAGGCAACAAGCAGGAGGCCGTGTGCCCACACAGTGTCCCATAATTATATCCATCACATCATACTTCCATCCTGGAGGGAAGAAAGAGAGAGAGAAAAGATAAATTAACCATCCTAGAAGAAGGGGGAGAGTGGGAAATAACTATTAGGAAGCCATGCTTTTTAAAACTTTATCACAAAATCTTTTTACTAAAACAGCAATATAAGAAAAAATTAGAAACCTTGCCACTACTAGGTAATAAGGAACTTAAGATTACTAGAATTTAGCCCAATCTTGTAAGAATTGTTTTCAAGTGACACTTTGTTTTAAATAACACTTTTATACTACTGACAGCGTTGTTCATTGGTACAAGATTTCTTACATTCTGAAGGTCAATTTAGAGATATATTGGAAGCCTTAAGTGCATTTACCTTTGACTTAGAACTGCCTTTGCAGTAATTATCCTATAGAAACATTTAGACAATTATCTGTTATAGCACAGTTTAAAGTAAAAAAAAAATGAAGAGATGCTAAATGCCTATCAATAGAGGACTGAATAATTCATGGTGTATTCATAAAATAAAATATTATGCAGTCATTAAAAATAGAGACATAAAAGATGTGCATTTTCAGATGCAGTAAGATGTAATGCTAAGGAAAAAAGGTCATCAAACAGTATATATAGCATGAGTTCTATTATTATATAAACACCTATATGTGCAAATGAATTTTTATATTTAAAAAGGATTAACTGTGTTTTGGGATTTGGTGGCATATTTGCATTTTCTAACTTTTCTTCAATGAACATTGTTCATCAATAGTTACATAATTACTTTTATAATTATAATCTTTTTAAAATGCTTCAAGGTATTACCATCTTTTATTGTGCTTACTTTTAAACTGATCAAGGTTTATGAATAATGCAATGCCATGAGAATGAACAAAGTGTCAAGTTACAAAGCAGAGACAATAATCCCTAAGGAGTTATATGACTGGAGTGATATCCAGAACTATTCAGAACAAGGGAGGTAAGAGTGATTACTTGCAAGAAAAACTTTAGAAATTACAAGAGATACTTCCAATTACTTTCATCAATGACTATTAAATTTGGACAGTTTCTACAGTTTCATGACTATGTGGGTTAAAAGATACAAACTTTTTCCTATTTTAGCCAGTAAAATCAATCAAGGAGAAGGGAGAAAGGAGGTATTCAACAAGAAAAAGTTAAGTCTATTCATACCCAAAGGATCAGATTTTTAGAACCCCCAAATATGAGTTCTTCCATCCAGTCTTATACTCTGCAAGCCCTTGACATTCTCCTTTTCTTCCTTTACAGGGAACGTGAAGATGAGAGGAGATGGAAAATGAATTTCTTTGCAGGCATGTAATGATGTAGGCACTGTGTCAGTCATTTTTCCACTTTGTTGTATTTAATCTTCATGATAATCCTAAGTAATAGGTACTATTTTACCCAATGACATATTAGAAAACTGAGGGTCAGAGAAGTTAATCTATTTAGTTGAGACATTTGCCCAAACAATGTTCCCCAGCCGGCAAGTAGTAAAGCAGGATCTCAGACCTTAATCTTTCTCTAAAATCCATGCTTTTCCCCATCACACAATCACTCTCTCAAAATTACCTGCAAGCAAGAATGAAATAATTAAGGATCCTAGAAGCATATATGACATAATTTAATTCTAATGAAATAGTCAACATATGTCATTGATTTTAAAAAGTACAACCCATCCCTGCCCCCAGCATATCTTTTTGGTTATCTCCTCTCTGGTTTTAATGTAGTTCTAGTTATTGGCTGCAAACTGAAAAAAAAAAAAATCCCTACAGGAGTTTAACATATTAAAATATTACAAATTGTATGGTTTATAAAACCCTTTCATATCCAAGGTTAGCAAGGCACATATTATTATAACCTTTTTGTTAATGATAATATAAAACCTCATTTTCCTATCTCGACTTTATTAGTTAAGTCTAAATAGACTTAACTTTTTCTTGTTGAATACCTCCTTTCTCCCCTCTCCTTGATTAATTTTACTGGCTAAAATAGGAAAAAGTTTTTACCTTTTAACCCACATAGTCATGAAACTGTGGAAACTGTCTAAATTTAATAGTCATTGATAGAGTCTAGCAGACTCTAGATTAGAGCTCAGGCTCTCTCCATACCCCACAAGGCTTTTCTTTTTTTTTTTTTTTCAGCTCCACCTTACAGGAGACTCTCCTGAAGTGAAACCCTGAGCATGCAAATGCTGGTTCTGCCTGGGAATGTAAGATATCTTGCTGCTATCATTTGCTGAAGTATCCCGTAGAAAACATGGAGTTACAGATAGAAAAAGTCAAGTTTAATTTAGGGACTTTACAGGCATTAATAGACAGCAAAAATGAAAAGCTGAAAAAGGGAGTAAGCGTCTATAAAGGAAGTTAATTTCACATGCAGTTCTTTAGAGACATTGCATATGCTAAGTAAGTGGAACAGGCAGCCTGTGGACAGCAGCTCTGGTAACTAGGGCAGGGACCAAGTCAGATGGCCGCTGGTGACCCTGCTCAGTAAGTTCCTAGAAAGACATCACTGGGCTGCTGGTCATTTCAAAGGAAACTTTATTAAGAAAATGATACATTTGGGGTTTTCTGGATGCAGTAGGTTCAAATGTCCTACCTAGCAGAGTGGCGAAGCCCACAGTGTGATTGGGGTGTCTACTTTGTAGAGCACAGTCAACTGAAATATGGGAGCAAAAGAACCTCTCTGTAGTGATCACAGAAGTACACTAGCAGAAGCTTTAATAGTATTTTGTATGCCTCAGGAGTCTCTATTTCATCATCTCAAAAGGCTCCAAAGCAGTGGAGACATTTTTAGGCTCACTGTGGACATGTGAACACGGTAAAGTAAGCGAGTCTCTCGTAAGGGAATGTGAAGGTTAGGTTACACTCTCTCAAGGTGAAATACTGGGATCACTCCCAGAATGCTCCAGAGAAATACAAATAAAGTTTCTGCCTTATTTCCCACTCACTATCCTGTGCTGAGAAGACTTCCTGTAACAGTAATTTTGCCGATCCTTAGCCCAAGGAGTCTAGACTCCATGGTCATCAGAGAGGAAAACTTCCCCCATGAAAAATACAGTTCAACTGAACTTTTCTGAGTCTGCCCCCTCATTCACACTTTGAACTTCTACTTAAGGAAACCTGATGGGAAGTACATCACTCTATTCCCAGCATCCAGTACAGCACCCACCACACAGGAAGCAAACAACACTGGTTTGTTGAACAGAACCCTAAGTACTAATGTAACCAGAGGCCCAGATGCCTTTAATATGCTCCGTTTCCTATTCCCCAACAAAAAGCACATCTTACTTCAGGAAACTGAATCAAGAAATTATACAGGTTCAAAGGAGCCTTAAAGATCATCTGTTCCAATCTCCTGAGTTTACAGATGAAGAAACCAGGGTCCATAAAATGAAGAGATTCCCCTAATGCCAGGACTCAAGTTTCCCAGGTTCAGAGCTAATACCAAACTGAAACACGCTTCAATTGAATTAGTTTTCATTAAGTTACATTAAAATTTTAGAGCTGTGGTTTATCATTATTTTGGAGTCATCTTCCTTTTCTGACACCATATTACTCTCCCTGGTGTTATTTCTTCCTCTAAGTAGTTAACTGTTTATAAATAAACATTAAAGTGCCCTAAGGGGATAGTTACTTTTTACAAATCTTTCTGTGAATCTTTCAAGGCAAAGAATGCTATCATAATATGAAAATGTATCATTCAATTTAACTATTCAAAAATTGGTGCTTTTGCATAGTGAGTTTTTCTTTCAGCAAGATACATTGCTGGAATTGTTTTCTTAAAAACCGGAATCGGTGGTCTTAAATGCAAATAGAAAATATTTCAAAACAAGCATAAATGGAGTAGTATTATCACATACTGAAATTCAGACCTACCACCAAAAAACTGAGCAGGACTAAGTTTGTCAAATTCAGTTGTTGAAAACAAAATATCTTTTAAGGCTTTTGTATCTTTATTGTGGCAAAGGAAAAAAAAAAAGCCCTATCTGGCACAAATTATTTTAAAAAGCCTTGCAGTTTTCCCACTGATTAGGAAATAAATGAATGCTAGAAGCTAGGAATGTTGTAAAATTTTGCAAAGCAAATAATAGAATTGAATTTTGTCTTCTTTTCTTTTTAGCATGCCAAGACAACTGTTGAAGTTTTTTTTAAAAATAATATTGCCCTTTCCACATTGAAGCCAAGCTATTTGTGAAGCCAATATGATACAGTATTTTAGATGCTCTGCACATTGATTTATTCTACTGCTTCTAGATTATTTTAAAGAAAGCACTTAGTTCCCAACCTCAGAGCCTATTTTCTACGACTTACTAACATAATCAATAATTTTTGATATAATCTCCAAAGAGATCATCAAGCCATCAATCTTTGAGACATTTATTTTTCAGAGGCATTCCTGGTGTGCCTCCCCATCCTGCCCTTCTGCTCTGTTAGGATGGATCTTACTGTGGGACTCAGAAGGGCATGCAGATTTTTCTTTCCATGGATGAATAAATACCAGAGACCTTGGGGGCAGGGAACAGCAATCACAGAGACTACCTCTCTGGGACAGCCTTGGCTCTGTAGGGTACCTATGCTTGCTTTGGTAACCTGATAAAGCTGTTTTCTGCCAACATTAATCTGGTCTGCTTAAATTGGTGAGACTTCTGAACACTACCAAAGGTATTTTAAAAATATATTTCATTTTCATTCCCTCTCTTCCTATCTTTTCTATTTTGAGGGGATTTTGTTAGCCAAATCGGGAGGGTACTCAAGAAATTTGCTATGTTAGGCTGTAAAGCAAAGAACAAAGTCAATATAGAGTCCCCTTGACAGGAGTCCTTGAGGAAGGTGACCCGTGTTCAAACTGCAAATGGAAGATCAGTCTCTGCTCTGGTGTATGCAGTGCCAGAGCCAATGCCAACACAAAGGCAGAGCATGCAATGGTTACAGAACATGCACCTTGGCACTTGACTGCCTGCATTTGAATCCTATCTATGCCATTTACTAGCTTTACAACCCCAGGCAAGCTATTGAACCTCTCTGCACCTCAGTTTATTCTTCTATAAAATGAGAACAATAATGCCTACCGAATAGGATTTGAGTTAATAAATGGAAAATACTTAAAACACTTCATGGCACATTGTATATAATTGTTAGCTATTATCATTAATAAAGGCAGATTTTAGAGAAGACAAAATCTGGGAATCACAAGACAGGGAGTAAAATTTACAACCTACTCTACGTTTTATTTTCCAGTAGAAAAAAACACCCATCAAAGGTAAAGGAAAGAATGTCCTTTCTTTACTAAAAGCAAAGGAAGAACACTATGTTAGCCTCAAAGGTCAGAGAAACCTGAGTTGAATCCAGGACTTGCCATCTAGTGGCTGGGTGACTTTGGGGCTAATATTGAAAGCTTCATTAAATCTCAGTTTCTCTATCTTTAAAATGGGGAGTATAAGAGTTCACACTCTCAGGTAAAAGGCTTAACATAGTGTCCGGCACATAGTAAATATTCCGTGAATATTAACTGACATAATTATTAAGGTTTTCAGAAGCAGGGATACAAAACAAAAAACGAGTAAAACTGAGGTAAGGATAAAGGGTCCAGAGAGGGACCACACCTAATATGAAAGCTACCCTTTCACAGATCACAAACTTGTGCCAGGGGTCAGAGTCAATGCCACAGAGAGGTCCTGTGCATGGTGACATGGCCAAAAGCTATTGCCAGAGCTCTGTAATTGATTCCAATTCCCGTGTGTGCACTTTCAAACTCCAAAAGCTACAGCTGCGTTAGGGAACTACTCCTTAGAGCTAGCATTTAATTCCTGGGGAGTTCAAGCAAGATTTCTCCTTGCAATGATGAGTCCCAGAACAGCCAGATACTGCTTAGCCCTATCTTCTAGAGCAGCCTATTCTGATACCACCCAAATTACCATTCTCATGGCGCTACTTTATGTTCTGGGTCCTTGCTCCTGAAATCAGTTATAGACTGCTCGTATGACATACTTGGGAATAAAGTTTTACTCCCTGGTTGGTGCTAATGGCTGCCTGAAAAGAAGAAAAAGGGTTTGATGTGGGTTATTTCTTTAAAATACAAACCACTGTAGCTAGAGAATGTATAAGATAATATACTAAGTATTTGAATCACAATAATTTAGCTTATGCCATTATTCACATTATATAATGAAATACTGAGCCAAAGCCATGTAAAGTCACTGAGTTTTATAGCCAAAGGGATCATAAGCTTATCTACCCCAACACCCTAGTTTAACCATTGAGGAAACAGATTGAGACAGGTTATGTGATTTGAACAAGGTCACACAGCTTGCCTATTAGAAAGCTAAAACTAGACCTGAGATCTCCACTGTGAATTTGACTCTGACAGCTCTTGCCTCCTTTAGGAATGCAGGTCTCTACCCATCTGCACCTACAAGTTTTACTCAGAAGGTTTAGATAAAATGCCACCCACCAATTCTATGAAGCTATTTTGGAGATTCCCCATTCAAATGTGAGCACCACTTCTTCTAAAGCTATGACTCTTAAACTCTAGAGACCATCAGAACCATCATAAGGCTTGTTAAATTTCAGATTTGGGGGTACCACTGCAGAGTTTCTGACTCTGTTGATCCGGGGTGGGGCCTGAGAATTTAAAATTCTAACAAGTTCTGAAGAAATTCTGGTCCTGGGACCCCACTTTGAGAACCACTGCTCTAAATATTGTCTGTATTTTATTTCTACCTACCTTTCTGATAGTACTGTCTTCCTTAGATTAGTTACTTATGTGTATCTTTAAAGTATACATTGGACCATAGCTCCTTGAAGAAAAGTTATGGGCCTTATTTCTTCTTATAGTATCTAACAAACAGCCTTGAAATGGTAAAAATTGAATCAATTTTTGGTGAGGGAGACTGGGCTAGTCAGCATACACCATTAACTCTACAGCAGGCTCCAGGGAGAAGATGAAATGAACATCAGTCCAAATAGGAATTATAATCATAAAACATAGAGACCCTGTGGAAATAGCTAGCCCACTATTTCCCAAACTGTGTTCCATGACACACTAATTCTGTATAGGTAGGCAACTAAAATACTCTTTAGGAAACACTAGTTGAACAAAGATAAAGAGGTTTCTTAAAGTAGAACTTCCTGGAGCCTTTAATATGCTCCAAAATAAACCTCCCTCATCTCCCATCCTGAGTCACCTCTAAAAATTTACTCTGCTTTTTAATCTCCATATGAAAGCACAGTAGATATAGTGCCCTCCCCCAGCCTTATCTGAGGGGGGTACGTTTCAAGACACCCAGTGAATGCCTGAAACCAAACCCGATTGCCATCAATCGGGATGTGTTACCGTTTATGTTTTCCACCCACAAACTTAATGCCTTTTCCATCTAAACTAAGCACTTATCACACACTGTGGCTGTAACTCTTGCAGTTTCAGGTGTGACAGCAAAACCAGCACAGATTTCTTCTTCCTTCTTCACAACTTCATGGATAGAAGATTCACTCTTACTCTAGGTCTTAGCAATCTCAGCATTTTTTTCTTTTCTTATGAAAGTCAGGAACTTACACCTTTTCACTTAAAGGAAGCAGTGTACAGTTTCTTTCCAGCATATTAAAATTGCCAGAATCACTACTCTTGAGCTTTGGGGCCATTATTAAGTACAGTAAGGGTGACTTGAACACAAATACTGCAATACCAGGATTGGTGATCTGATAACAAAATGGCTACTAAGTGACTAAGGGGCGGAAAACATGCACAGCATGGACACGCTGGACAAAGGGAGGATTCTCATCCCAGCAGGACGTTGGAGGAACAGTGAGGGATGAACTGAGAGTTCATCAGGTAACTCAAAATGGAATGAAATTGAAAACTTATGAATGGTTTATTTTTGGAATTTTCCATTTGATATGTTGGGACAGTGGTTGGCAGTGGATAAGTGAGACATTGGGAAGTGAAACCATGGATAAGTGAGGACTACAGCACCTATTGTCTACTTTTACTATTAGAAATGAAGTTCCATGGTGCATAGTCAGAATTCAGTAAATACTTGTTACATGCACAATCATGCTATGTAATTTGGGATCCCAAGGGATATAATATGTACAATTTCAAAAATCTATTTGATCATGAATTCCTTTCTTTCCCCCTATACCCCACACCTATACTGCAAAGTCTTAAAGAAAGAGTGTTTTGTGAAATAAAATTGGGTCAACATTGAGTCTAAGCTAGACACTGTGGCTCTAGCTGCCTGGAAAGCTTTGGAAGTGAGGTATAATCAATCCCAAGATTCTGAAGACTTTCATTATTCTCCTTCCTCCTACACCATATCATAGGGTACAAATTCTCATGTTAACTAAGCTGAGTGTCATCCCTGAAGAAACTGTTCCAATACTTGTCATATAAACACATCCCCACATTTCGACTGAAGAATGAGACAACTGCTCCATAATTTGCTGTGCTAAACTTTTTTCCCACTAGAAAAAAAGCAAATAGAGAATTTGCACAGTTCTGTGAGCTACAAGGTCTAACACGAAGAGAAGAATCTTCTCAAGGTTGAATAATCATCCATATATTTTCATAATTTTTCTTATCTAGTTTTACTTAGTCAATGGCCAAAAGTAGTCAGCCAAGTCAAAAATATCCTGAAATACAAAACCAAAAGCCAAGGTCATATTTCACCTCTCTGTGGAAAACTCTGCTTGTCTACCCTGAGCTCTAAGTCTAAGTATGGCTTTATAACAAGAAGAGTATTTTATTTACAGGGATATGATATCACCTTTGTCATTCTGCACAAGGGAAAAAAAAATCCCTAACCAAAGCCTTCAGCTGGTTCTGCCAAATAGCCAAGTAGACTACGACCAAAACCCAACCTTTTTCATCATAATAATACTGTAAATTCTAGCTTTTTCCAGTGGTGCAAATCTTCCTGTCTAAGAGTGGTCTCTTAGGAAAGAAGTCAGTCAGCATGCAGCAAGAGTAATTCAAGTTGATTCTGAGAAAAATGGAAGATTCAGCCACACAGCGGCAGTGTTACGAATACCCTCCTTTATTTTCTCCCTAGGTACTAGAAATATTTCCATACAACACTGGTTAATGTCAAGTATCATTTCATCAGTAAATGCTTCAAATTCAGGAGTAATTCAACCAGGGGCTATCAGAAGGAAAGATTAGCATGTTGTTCAAGCCTTTTAAAAATCACTTCTCTCTCTGGAGAAAGAAATTCATCATGGTATAAGAGAAAAAAAAAGTAAGGAGAGGATATAATTTGCTCCTATGCTTGGCTGTCTGAAAAAATGTGCCAGAAAAATGCATGATTTCATTTTTTCTCTTGTAGGCCTCGCTGACAGAAACCAAAGGGTAAATATATTAGTATTCTCTCATGCTTACGATTTTTAAAAAAGAAAGAAAAAAAAGAAAACCTTTTCTAGTAATAGCACTTACTCTGGAAAAACAGCTTGGAAGAGAAAAGGGGCCAAATCATTTCAAATGGGACAAATAAATAGTGTTAATTCCAATAGTCGGGGGGCAAAATGTAGTTCAGAAAAAAAAGTGCTTGGAGAGCCTCTGATTGCTACAGTCTGACACAATGGATTTTTACTGCTCTGCCAAGTTCCTGCCATCTGTTATATTTCCAAAAGTTAACATCTTTTTAGCCATCCCAATTGCCATTCCTCTTTAAAAGTGAGTCTCTTTCAAGGAAAAGAGAATCTACAAAGTAAAATCGGAAGATACGAAAGCAGAAGATAGAGGACCTTCCCTTGTTGCACCCCTTTCCTGTTGAGAAAGAGATGGTAACGCAGGGCAAGGGGAAAGCCAGTGGATGGTGGGGAGGGGAGGCTTGGGCATACGTAGAGCTGCCATACATCATTGAGGTGAAGGGGCATCACGTGACCATTTTCCAAAGAATGGAAACGCCAAGAAAAGATGTAACAAATGATAAGACATCCTGAAGTTTGTGGAGGACTTATGAGAGAATAATAATTCAGTTCCAAATCTTACCACGTTTACACATGGGACCAGTTCTTGCCCTAGACAAAGCAGACACAGGCTCAAGCAGGTGGTTTTGTAAGTGCTTGTCTATTTGGCTAAACGTCCCCCAAGAATGTAAGGCAGCAACACTGAGTTCATCCATGGTAGGTAGACAATGAAAACTTGCTAAAATGAATTGAATGAGAAGAGTGATACACACTCAGCTCTCTAAAATGGGATAATATTAGCTATATCTGGCTTCATGAAGGTTGGGATATGAGCAGATGAGTATCAGGAGAGGAGAAGGGAGAAAATAATTATGCAAGAAATAAAGAAACAATATATCACGAAATGGCTGAGACTCTAAAATAGTATTTCAGGCAGCAATCTGAATGAACTCAAAAAGGAAAAGAAGAAACCAAACAGCTTAACATATATTAATAGAAGGATGAACATACTGCAGAGAGGTAGAAATTATAGCATGGGAAGAGAAAAAGAAGCTTATCTGGAAATAGGCAGCAATAAGCATTCCAAGGATTTAAAAGAGCTTGCATGTGGGTCAAGGAATACAATCCAAAAGTTTGCTGACAATCCAGAAATCTTGTCAGTCTTGTCTCCTGATATTACCATCACTGAAAACTGTGTCTTAGCAAACAAGGCAAAATGCAAATCTTGTTCCTTCGGCTCTCCCGTATTCCCCATTAAGGTTATTTATTATTGACTGGTGCATATAAGCCCACATTGCCTGGATTAGTACTCAGTGCTAATGAGACCAAGGTCACCCCTTCAATGACCACAGGGGACTACCCACAGAGTCTTTCTTCCTAAGAACAGGTCAACATGGACACCTCTCAACTACCCTCCATCTCCACTAAAGAGCCCGAGGCTGCAGAATCCTGAGTCAGTGGGATCCTCTTCCTGTATGCTCACTTAAGAAAACATATTTTCTTACAGGGACGGGACATCTGTAGACATTTTTGTAGACACGCCTTAAAGAAAGTGTCCAAGAACCTCCAGCTAGTTATTTCAGCATAAGCAACCTCAGCCTAACATTCTAGGTCCAGGACAGGGTTACTATCCCAAGGCAACCACAAATAGACCAGATGTGACATCGCCCAGCCCTTCAGAGTTGGCCTGAGTAGAATGCTGCCCCCTAGAGGTGCTGCCACAGAGACTAAGACAAAGCCAGGTGATGGAGCTCATCCTAAGAGAAAACTAGTCTTCCGGATCTCCGCAAATCCTGCTGCACATCCCAAATTTTGACAACTGCGTCTTAGCTAAGAAGGCAAAATGCAAATCTGGCTCCTTCAGCTCTCCCATAGTCCCCATTAAAGTTATTTATTATTGACTGGTGCATATAAGCCCACATTGCCTGGATTAGTTAGTACTCAGTGCTAATGAGACCAAGGTCACCCCTTCAATCACCACATGGGACTACCCACAGAATATTCCTAACAACAGGTCAACGTGGATCTTTGGAAGAATTAGAACTCGGGGTGGGTAAGGTATGGCCAATGAAGTGACTTCCTAGGACATGTTGTATCCTTGAAATGAAGTTACCAAGGACAATCAGCTTGTTTTGCTCCTCCAATCCCCTCTTTGGGATCCTGGTATCATTTTTGAAACTGAAAGCCAGAGTGAGAAAGCAATCCAATGCAGACGGTTCAAACAGAACATGAATGCATATGAACTCAGTGAGCTCAAATACAGTTAAGGCCGTGGAGACACAGCAGATTACACTTCACAGCCAATGAGGTGAATGAGAGAACAACTAAGGGGCCAGGTATCAGTTGACTGTGCAAAAGATGACAGCAACCCTACAGCCTTAAGCCGCTTACCAGTCTGACATCTCCACTCTCATCCCCTCCATAGGACTCCTGCTACAACCAACCAGCCACTTAGCTGAAACCTACACAAATCCTAGCCCTGCAGAAACACTTCAATGCCTTTCCCATGCTTTCAGGATAATAAAGACCAAAACTGACAAGGCTGTGGCTGAAAAGGTTCCGCCAAATTTGAGCCTGGCTTTTTTTTTTTTTTTTTTTTTTTGAGATGGAGTCTTGCTCTGTTGCCCAGGCTGGAGTGCAGTGGCAACATCTCCACTCACTGCAAGCTCTGCCTCCCAGGTTCACGCCATTCTCCTGCCTCAGCCTCCCGAGTAGCTGGGACTACAGGGGCCCGCCACCACGCCTGGCTAATTTTTTGTATTTTTAGTAGAGACGGGGTTTCACTGTGTTAGCCAGGATGGTCTCGATCTCCTGACCTCGTGATCGCCCATCTTGGCCTCCCAAAGTGCTGGAATTACAGGCTTGAGCCACCGCGCCTGGCCCCTGGCTTCCTGTTTGGCTTATCTCAAACCACTCTCTGCTTTCCAGCGACACTGGCCTTTTTTTGATCCTAGTAGAGCAGGTCCCACCTCAGGAGTCTGCACATTTCCCAAGTTCAACTGGCTTCCCCTGCCCTGATTTCCCATTATAAAAACATGCACAGAGTCACTGCAGCTTCCATATTCCTCAGGACAGATTTATGTCATCTCCACAATTAGGTCTGGCCCCTGTCATGTGTCCTCAGAGCACACAGAACATTTCATTTGCAATACTTACTATTATTCTAAATATATTTTAGTAAGACTATTTGACTAATATCTGTTACTCCAACTTGACTATAAACCGAACGAAGAAAGGCACTTTCTCTTTGGACATCAGTTACCCCACACAAAACGTACATACTACTGGGCACATAGTAGGTGCTCAATAAATATTTGTTGTTTAATGAACTACAAATGTCTTATGAAACTCCAAGAAAACATAGGATTAGATCAGTGTTTTCCCATAGAGTAAGGGGCAATTTTGACCCCCATGGGACATTTGGCAATCTCTACAGACATTTTTTGTTATCACAATGAGAATGATGCTGCAGGCATCTAGTGGGTATAGGCCAGAGATGCTACTAAATGTCCTACCCAGGACAGCCCCCAAAACACAGAACTTACATGCCTAATATGTCAATACTGTTGAAGTTGAGAAACCCTAGATTAGCGGAACTAATTCAACTATATTGGGAAGGATAGAGCCAATGATATATTAATAGAAAAAAACAACTCCCAAAAGGAATTTTTACATAGCTGAGGCACTGCATAGAGCTCTTCTGCTGCCATTGAGAGGTTCTGGGGATCATGTTCCATGCAAGGTCAGCTCTGCATGGCTGAGGTTAGAAACTGGGTTCCCTTCCACTGGAGCTGGGATGACTTCCATCCCTACAATGTAAACCTGACTGGGTTCTGAGGTCCCCACCCACAACAGATAATTAAGGATCCATCACCTCTTGGTGGTAGAACCAAGATTTCTCCAGGAACTGTTCGCATGTAGCAAGGCCATCAGTCACCTTGACAGCTAGAATCCCCGTTTGTTCCCAAGGACTAATGTTCTCTAGTTTTTGGCCAACCTGACTCGTATCTCACTCTTTACAGACGCATTTATTCTGCCAACAAAATCAAGACCCCAGAAGACTAATCTTCTCAAGTCAACATAGGGCCACCTCTCCAGAGGCTCGCATAATTTTCTCTGCTTGACTACCAAGACCACAGCCTCCCAGGCCTTCGAGTGGCCTCACTTTTCCATGGCTTTGAGGAAATCATTTTACTCTGCAGCATGGTTTACGAGGCAGCGGCTGTCAAATCCTGCCCCGCATTGTGAAATCAAGCACAATCCCCATAATTCTACCCCAAGCTACAATAACCTAAACAGATTTTAAATGCCTCTCCTTAATATCAACAGCTTCTGCAAAGGAAATAGGATCATTGCTTTGATAAGCCTTAAACTAAGAAGCCTCATTCCATGTAGGTAAGTAGATAGTTTTCTTCTAGGCCACCCCTGAGTATATGTTGTTAAAAACCAAGTGTACATGTTGCCACTAATTATGTAATACAAATAAATAGTTTACACAGCATATGTAAACTGTGAAATGGGGAAAGCAGCAATTTTGAGCATCCACAGCAGATGTTTAGGGCAGCTGTACAGGGAAGCTGACAAGAATTTAGATGAAATTTATTTTAATGTCCCACAAGAGTCAGGGAAAATTTGTTTAACCTTTACCAAACTATTCCACCCAAGGAGTTCAGATCTGAATTTTCTTTTAGAATAGATTTCTATTGTTGTGTTTAACATGCCTTTCCTATTTCCTCGTTTTTTAAAAAAAAATCTAAAGAAGAGGCTCTAGTGATTTGACCACTATGAACAAATGTCATTCAGCCATTACAAATGTAAGCCCAGAAACGTGCTTTTCAATGCCCATGATTTGGCAACAAATGTTACAAGAGTAAATGATATTAATAAGGAATTTAGCAACAGAGAAGCTTGTACAACAAGTACTTCGAGGTTTGAACTTGAATAATCCAATAGACTATACTATTGTTTTCAAGAACTACTTTCCGTCAAGTGCGGTGGCTTACGCCTGTAATCCAGCACTTTGGGAGGCCGAGGCATATGGATCACCTGAGGTCAGGAGTTCGAGACCAGCCTGGCCAACATGGCGAAACCCTGTCTCTACTAAAAATACAAAAATTAGCTGGGCGTGGTGGCAGGCAGCTGTAATCTCAGCTACTCAGGAGGCTGAGGCAGGAGGATGGCTTGAACCCAGGAGGCAGAGGTTGCAGTGAGCTGAGATCTCACCATTGCACTCCAGCCTGGGCAATGAGAGGGAAATTCCATCTCAAAACAAAAAACAAACAAACAAAAAAACTGTTTTCCAGATCAAAAAGAAAAATGTTAGCTCCCAGCCTTATGTGGCTTAACAATACCATCCTTCCATTACTTTTATGTTTTTGGGAGAAAGAACAAATGATAAAATTGGCAAAAAATTACTTAGACTAAATGTCCTGAACCAGAAATTCGGGCATCAACTACCCTTTGCCTCACACATATTTCTGCAAGATCAAGTACCAGGCATTAAAGAAATATTTGTTGAATTGGGAAACAGTGTAGCAAATAGCTAACACAGAATAAGTTCTTACCAGGTTGCAAGATCTTACACATCATTGCTATGTTATCTAAGCTAACTTAAAGGTTTGTGTTTCTAGAGTCAGGGATGTTAAGAGGCAGGAACTTCAGCGGATGTTTACAGCACCAGCCTCACCAGGGAAGTAAAACAATGCTTCTGAGGGCTGAGTATATGTCACACAGGCTGGCGGATGGCAACGATAAAATGAGGGTCCAAGCCCCAGACCAAAAGTAAGTGGTTATAATACTATTATATTTTAAAAGGGTTTTAATGGAAGACCAAAGAACATGCTTATTTGCCATCCTCTCACAGAATCTTAGATGAAAGTCATATAGCCTAGGACTCTACTTCTCCTACTCGAGTTTACTTGGATTCAACATTTCACTACCAGACCATCAAGAAAAATTATCTGATAGTTTCAGATTATTTGATTTTGTTAATCAAATACCTTCTGGTTATTTGGTTTTATTAAAAATGGCCAAAAAATTCAGTTCTGTTCTAGGCCATCATAATATTGATCTCTCCACTAAGTAAACATGAAGCAGATAAATTATTTGTATAATTTTGTCCTTTACAGTTCATGGAAAGGCATCAAATCTTTATCATCTGTATTATAAAATCCACATAGAGTCTATAGGAGTTGGAGACCCTGTAGGACTATCTGTCATGGCAGTTGGGCTGTTAAGTTTGAGCGCTCCCAGTCTTTTGGCGGCAGTGGTGATGCAAAGGCTCTTGGCCACCCACCTCCGCTGGGAATCCAGCTTCTCCAGGACTGTGGTCGCCCTGTCTGCTGTGGTGGGAAAACAGCCCCCGGAACTGACCGTACATTGGCAGGAGGACCCAGATCCTGAGGACAAAAACTTCTATGAGAAGAACCCAGACTCCCATTGCTATGACAAGGACCCCATTTTGGACATCTGGAACATGTGAGTTGTCTTCTTCTTTGGCGTCTCCATTGTCCCGGTCCTTGGCAGCACCTTTGTGGCCTATCTGCCCGATTACAGGATGCGAGAGTGGGCCCACTGCAGAGCTGAGATGCTTGTGAAATACCGAGAGGCCAAAGACCTTCCCATCATGGAATCCAACTGCTTCAACCCCAGCACGATCCAGTTGCCAGAGGATGAGAACTGACCAGTTGCTGAGTGGAGCTCAAGAAGCACCACCTTCCCCACCCCTTGCCTGCCATTCTGACCTAATTAAAGGGGCTGAAAGTCTGAAAAAAAAATCCATAGGAGTCAATGCATACCAATCTGATGTTTTTGAAACTTTGGACTTTGTTGTGTCTGTTTGATTTTGGGATTGATTTTGGAATGATTGTCCTAATATATCTCCTTCTTCCTTCTCCACTGATTCCATTTTAATTTCATTTTCAATTTCCTTTTATAACATGTTCATAATTGATGTGACACACAGTGTCCCCTTGATCCTAGACTAGGGCCACCTCAAAACCACTAACCTACAACTGCAAAAAAAAGTGCATATACTTAACATTACTGAACTGTACACTTAAAAATGGCTAAGATGGTCAATTTTACATGTTTCTTTTTTTACACAATTCAAAATAAAAAATATATATATGTTTCTAAATAAGCCTTCTTTAGGGATGGTACTTTTAAGGTTTTTTATATAAGGTGCAGAACACCTGAGCTTTACAGCACAGCCACAATATTTTTGGAATGGAAGTGGGAGGGAGTAGCTATTGACTACATAATTTCATACAATTACCTCACTTAAACCCAAGGACATGCATAATAATTACAATACATCACCTTCTGTCCATCATCTAATCGATTGCAAAACTCTTGCCTGTCAAGAAAGCCACTTAACCTAAATAACAAGTCAAAGAGTGAAACCTTCAATTTGAAATCATTTAGGAATTTTGAATACATTCGGTGTCTAAGTCAGGAGGGAAAGATAGGTGGGGATTATTTTTCCTTTTTTTTTTTTTTTAACAAAAACAAGTGTTTAGGTTTCTCATGTAGACCAACAGAAGATAGATCTAACACATAAGATGGGGACAAATGGACTACAGGTAACTCCCAAAGATACTCAAAGTCAGCAGAGGACAGAGATGGTTTCATGTCTAATGTTCCTGCTGCGGCATCATCAAACATTGTGGCGACATCATCAGACTTTTAATGTAGTAAGCATTTCTCCTTTGTAATATATGCAGAGCTCATCAAGATCCTGGTGACACCAGTCCCTTCTGGATAAGAATTTCCACAGGTATAATCAATGGTGAACACGCAGGGCAGTCCCTCCAGCCTGACATTCCCTCACGTAAGCGTAATTTAATTGGGGCCAATTCTTATCTGAGTCAGCTCTTCACCCATAGAAGAGAGAAACTCTGAACAGGTTTCACATATGCTGGCCTGGGGCTGTTTCAACTGGCATCTTCCATAATTGAGGCAGCTATCTTTTCTCCTCCAGGTAGTGTTTCCACATTCTACCAGGGAAAGAATGATAAGCTAGACATGAATGAATGAATGGCATTATTTGCAAGTGGGGTGTGCCCTCCTAACTCATGGGCAGAATCACTTCTTTGTTGACAGTATTTTCTGGAATCCCACTATAGATGATTAAAATTAAAAAGAAAGAAAGAAAAAAAAAACCCTAGGCAATAGATCAGTCTCTTTTGTAGAAGGTATAAAATGGATCCTGATAGAAGTGGAACCTGTCAAGTCATAAGGCATAATTCATTAAATTTTAATTTTGTTAAAATTAAAAATGCATTACTCTTACTTTTAAAGATCTACCAAATGGAATGATGTTATTCTCCCTTTTTATTGAGACAGGGTCTCAGTCTTTCATCCAGGCTGGAGTGCAGTGGTGCAATCATGGATGGCTGCAGCCTTGACTCCCAGGCTCAAGGGGTCCTCCCACCTCCACCTCCTGAGTAGCTGGGACCACAGGTGCATGCCACCACACCTGGCTAATTTTCGTATTTTTAGTAGACACAGGGTTTTGCCATGTTGCCCAGGCTGATCTCAAACTCCTGGGCTCAAGCAATCCACCTGCCTCGGCCTCTCAAAGTGCTGGGATTACAGGGTGAGCCACCACACCCAACCTCCCCCTTTAAGTCATTAGTCTCCCTTCTTCATGATCTCACTTTAAATGAGAAGACATGGCAAAATGTAAATATTTGAATACTGGTTAACTACATTGCTTACCAATTCAATTTTCACCCTCAATTTTCTCACTAACTGTAATCTATTTAAACTGAGGAGAAAATGCAAAAGTTTTTCTCCCTTTTAGCTTTTGTTGGGGGGGAGGGGGAATCAAAGAAGGGCCTTGATTAAAGAGATGTTTTAGGAAGAGTATAAATGCTTTGTAGCTCCTGTGTATGAGATATAACTGAGGAGAGTACCAAACATCCCACCCTTCCTTCAAAAATGCCTTGCTACTGTTTTCATGGAGAAAAAAAAAAATACTTTTAAGGTAAGATGTATATTTATGAGGCAGAAGTAGAGAGAATGATAATTTGAACATAATTAGAGCTTATAAAAAAACTTCCATGGTTTTTCTAGTTTTTGATCAAGGCTAGAATCTGGAGAATTCTGATTATGTTACAGGACTTGCAGCTTCAAATTCTCCACCAAATAAGGGGATTCTGAGAGAAAACACACTTGTATAGAGAAGAGAAGAAGGCAAGGTGCAGAGAGACAGCTGGACAGACACTGATGACTTACTAAACCTCCCTCTTGGTCCCAGGTCCCGGGGCCAGCTGCTGCTTTACTTGAATCCTTGACTCTCTTATACTAGAATTTCAATGATTCCAGGGTAAGTCAGAGAATTAAATTACTAATATGACTTAAGGAGAATCTGAAACACACAGGAATCACTATTATAATAAATATTTGTAACTTTACAAAGGATCAGACCAATGGTGCTGAAGCCCAAATACCATTAACATGATTCCACATGTGGAATTGCAAAGCAGTTGAATGACCTAAGGCAGCTATTTGACCTCTTCATTCCTCCCCAGTCATTTGGGTAGGACTTATAAGTATCTGGCCTTCTATTCTGCTGATTTTCAGCTTGCTGTCCAGTTTTTATACATAAAAATATGGTGCTTGGGTTCTTGGCTTGACCTTGGAGCCATCAATTATCTAAAATTTCTAGTTTTTTAACGCTGAGATCACTTAAACCCCACTGTTGTTAAGTACACTGGTTCTGCAACTCAATTTAATTCAGCCAACATTTATGAAATACCTAGCAGAGATCAACTTCAAGGAACTTAAGGGAGGGAAAATACTAACATAACATAGCAAATACTATAAAGCAAGGAAACAAAGGGCTATGAGGACACAGAGCAGGGACTAATTGCTGTGTAGGAGAAAGAAAATGGAGGAACTCTATGGAATAGAAGGCAATAAATAGTATCTTACTAAGTGCCTACCAATTGCCAGATATTGTGATCATGTATGCCTTAAATACATTATTTTATTTTATTCTCACAATAAATTCGGTGGGTATCATTATCTCCATTTTATGGATGGTAAAACTGAGTTTTAAGGGTACCCAAGGGAGAGAATACAGTCATGGGTTTTTAGTTTCTGTTTCTGGTTGGGCCAGTAAAGCCCCTTCCTCAACCCTCTCTTCTGCTTATCACTAGAGACAGAACCCAAAAACCATGTCTTCAAGCTGCTAAAAGCCTAAAACAAAACAAAACAGAACAACAACAACAAAATAAGGCAGGTTAGACAAGCTTGGTTAATTAAGGTATTTGGCTTATGTTCTTATTCATATGTGGTAGAGCTATAATTCCAACTTAAGTGTATTTAATTCCAATGCCTAGGCTCTTACCCACCATGTTATTATGCTCTCATCTGAGGTGGATCACAGAAGACAGAAACAATTCTAATGATTAACTGGAATCTTTTTGGCCCGAAATCCAGATGGAGCAGAGGAAGTAAAAACACAGATGTGGGAAAGTGCAAGAACTGTCTGAGAAAGAATCAGTGACCCAGTATAGTTCAACTGGAGGAAGCTCATACACAGGGTGAACAAAGCACAAGCCCTAAATGTCAAAATGAAGACCATGAACTTTAAACTTGGGCACTTCAGGAGCCCCCTCCCTACCTGCTTTTTCCTTTAATGATCAGGTTAGCACCATGATGGAAGAGCTGCTTCAGGAAAATGATGGCTCTTGTAGCTAACATGTGTGAGATATAATTGAGGGGAGTAGATAGATAAGAAGCAGAAGGATTTGATAAGGAACCCTAAACTGAAAAAGGCTATCTTAAGAAAACATCATGGCCCTTTAGTCAAGTTAATTTATCCCAGCTTTAGTACTTTATATATGTATTACTGTTTAATGTATTATTTTTCCACTTACAAATCCCCATGATTATATGCCAAAACTATTTTTAGTCAACAACTTTTCTAAATGAGTGGGTATCAAGAACATAGGCCAGAAAATTCCGTTTAAAAAACAAGAAAATCTGAGTTCCAATTCAGTTTTTCATTTACTTTAGACTACATTGTGTTAGGACATTCACAAAGCCAAAGACAAGAAGGTTAGTACCTCAGTTCTGGAGTATCTAAGTCCATGATAAAGGAAAAGAAGTCAGGATGTGGTTTTATAGCCACTTTGTAAGAAAGAAGGTCAGCTGCTTCCAAAACACCCATGACAGACACTTTAATAAGAAGGGGTTTACTGCTAAAATAACACTCCACACCTGCCCTGAGGGGCTATGTTTAGTGTCATTTTACCATTATCTGCATTTCATGTGCTTCTGCCACAAGCCTTTATTTTGTTAAACAAACTATAATATATGACCTGCCTGAAGAGAAAATATTTATTCAGATCAGAAAAGGACTTTTAATACCTCAGAGAGGTTTTCATGAAACTCTCATTTTGAAAAAAAAAAAAGAAGAAATAAAACATACCTTATATGCACTGCATTTCATTATCTATTCAACCACAGACAATACTTAACTGTGCAATAGCAGCGCTAAATCATGTTAAATTACTCTTGATCTACCACATCTTAAAGATAGGCTGAAATTTATCTCAAACAGCCCTCCTAATTATATATTTTATCTGACATGATAAAGTATTTCATTACAGGTTTTATTTTCTTAACATTTAAACAACTGTGTATAGCATTAAATAACATCTGAAAAGCTGTAAATGTTTCTCTCTCTCTCTCTCTCACACACACACACACACACACACACACACACACACACACCCTTTACTCCTGTCAATTTCCCTAACAAGAAATCCCTTCCTTTACTCCATTACCATAATTTGCAAACTAAAGTCAATGTGAACTCATTAAAATACTTCACATTATTCAATATTTGTTGTGTTTATCAGATATTTAAAGCCTTTCCTTCCAAAGTGCTAATATTCTAAAAAATAAAACAATTACACATTTTGTAGGCATAATAGCAACATTCAAATGAATATTTACCCAAATAAATAATAATGAAGCAATAAAGTACTCCATTTATTTGCATATTTTTGTCCATCACCCAACACAATGCCCTTAGAGTTTATTAAAAACTCAAAACCCACGCAATACAGCTGAAGGAACTACACTCAGAACATGAAGACCTGAGTTGTACTTCTGTTTGTCTTGGGACCCTGGGCAAAACACTTAAACTCTCTGACTTTGCTCCTTCTCCCCAACCTCACAGAGCTATTTATAAAATCATGTTCCTGAAAGCATCCTGAAATTTAACGTATAAACTATCTTTCATTGTACCGCTGAGGAAGCCAAGGACAAGACAATGAAAATGTCTTGCTCAGAGTTAAAAGGCAGAGGGCACACAGATAGCTCTGCTAGATTCTCCAACAGGCAGACAAACTGTTAGGACATGAATAAAGCAGAGAGGGGGATAGGGCAGCTTCCATGGATTAATGCCAAATTCTGCAATCATAAAATCTAGAAACACACTATTTTAGTTTCAACATACATGGAGTTTTGTAATATTTCAAAAAGGTCTCATTTTGTTTTGACTTACATAGATGGGCACATTATCATCTTTCAATGTTTAGTGCATCTGAAGGTCTTAAACAATCTCTAGGAAGAGAATGTTTTTGCTTCAGTTCTCTTTCCACTACATTTCAACTGTTTTTGGGTTTGTCTGTTAGCTTTCTTCTCATGCTAAGTGTTGCAACCTTCACTTTAAAAATGTAGTCATTTTAATGTTTGACTTTAAAAACTTGCCTGATTTCTAATGACTGTGAAAAACATTCAAATAAAGCTGAAGTGTACTAAGCACAGGTCAAATCTTCCTCTGGTATCACCCAGTGTGCAAACTTCATTCCTCCCCGACAGTTTCTTACTGCAGAAACTGTCAAGGTTTCTGACTCATTGATTGGTAAGGCAAGCTCCCAAAGGTTTGGAAAAAGCTAACAAGCTAGAACTGGAGAGAGGGTTTTTTTGTTTGTTTTCGGTTTTGGGGTTTTTTTTGGCATTCAGCAACAGCTTCTCTTTTGCAACCTGTTCAGAACTCCTTGCATGAAGCTCCCAGGCTATCACAAAAGAGCTGGTGCTTGTGCAACCATTACCCTCTGTTTACTGTCTCAGACAAGAAACAAAGAAAGATAGGCGCCCAGCAACAGAAGTGTAGCAGGAAGAATTTAGGTTGGCCCCCAACTTTCAGAAGCTGAGGTTAAAACAAGTTAGCTAACAGAGGCAGTTTTCTTTCAGCAACTCCTTGAACCCTCAGGACTCAGCAGGCTTGAGGTTTTAACAACTTTTATGGATGTATGAATGCAGAAAGGAGAACGACTAGCGTCTCCTCAGGAACTGCCTGCCGAGATCTCCTTACCATTGAGCTCTCCAAGGCTCAGCTTTTGGAAATGTGAGTTCTGGAAAAAATTCAGAAGTCACAGGCCTTTGTGGTGACAATGTGGACTTAAGGCACAAGTCTAAAAGCACAAATGCCTGTCTCTATCCTGCCCTTCCTCTACCCAAAATGAGGAGTGGGGAGATTTTTTGATATCCAATCTGGAATTCCAGTATTTTAATTTGAGCAGGTGCCGAAGAAACACAGAAGCACTATGAGATTCTAACAGAGACATTTATACCCCAACTCTACGTATTGCAGTTAAATTTGGAGAACAGTTCAGTTCTCTGTGATCAGCAAGTCTCTGCTTAGTGTTTTCTCTGTGCACAGCACCTTGTTAGCTGGACACGGGATAAACAGTGACAATGTGATGTTTGTCTTAGAAAACTCACCACACCACCTTTTACCATATGAAAAATGCAATTCAAATTTCTCTTCCAATGTCATATTTCTTTAAAATGTATTTACAATGCCAGATGCTTCAGGGCACAATGAGTCAAGTTAAAAATTTTACTCCTCTCAGAAAAACTTGACCTATATCAGAAAGAAATCCAAAAAAAAGGTTCCCAATCACTTACAGCACTAATATGTTTTAAAATCTTTGCCATCTGTACAAGGTTTTCCAAGTTATTCAGGTAATTTTAAAATGTACTACCTAGCTTTTTCTTCACTGCAACTCCTTAAAGTGGGCATTATTCCTCATTTTTACAGATGGGGAAGCTGAAGCTCAACGAGGTTAAGACTTGGGCAAATCAATCAGCTCTTATGGTCCCAGAGCAAGGACTCACAGCACAGGTTTCTGGTTCACAGTGGCCTGCATTACTATAGACACCAAACAAAATTACTTCAGCTATACTTCAAGACAGAGAAGGCAAGCATTAATACTGAAGAGGTTTGTTCCTCTTCAGTAGATTTTAAGTTATAATTGGTTTAGTGAAAATTTAATCTTGGGAAATTTCTTTTGAGAAAATTTTTGAACACCCTTTGTGACATGTCAGGCATTTATGTGTGGCTGTTCCCCCCGACAGAGGCCTAGCCTGGCTCAGGGACTAGGCTAAGCCCAAGGTTCCCTCAATAATCTCCCCTCTGACCTTTGGGAGTGAGAGGTGACAGCATGCTGGCAGCCCTTGCAGCCCTCGCTTGATCTCAGTGCCTCCTCAGCCTCGACCTCCGCGTCTGCTCTGGCCATGCTGGAGGAGCCCTTCAGCCCGCCACTGCGCTGTGGTGGCCCCTCTCTGGGCTGGCAGAGGCCCGGAGCCAGCTCCCTCTGCTTGCGGGGAGGTGTGGAGGGAGAGGCGCGGGCGGGAACCGGGTCTGCGCGCTGTGCTCGCGGACCAGCCGGAGTTCCGGGTGGGTGTGGGCTCCGCGGGCCCCACACTAGGAGCGGCTGGCCAGCACAGCCGGCCCGGGGCAGTGAGGGGCTTAGCACCCGGGCCAGCAGCTGAGGATGGTGCGCCAGGTCCCCCAGCAATGCCAGCCCGCCCGCGCTGCGCTGGAATTCTCGCGGGGCCTCAGCTGCCTCCCCGCGGGGCAGGGCTCGGGACCTGCAGCCCGCCATGCCCGAGCCTCCCCCTCCTCCTCCCCCCGCCCGCCCCCCCCGCCCCCTCCGCCCCCCCCCGCCCCCTCCGCCCCCCCCCCCCCGCCCCCTCCGCCCCCTGGGCTCCTGCGCAGCCGGAGCCTCCCAGACGAGACAAACCCCCTGCTCCCCAGCGCCCGGTCCCATCCACCGCCCAAGGGCTGAGGAGCGTGGGCGCACCGCATGGGACTGGCGGGCAGCTCTGCATGTGGCCCCAGTATAGGATCCACTAGGTGAAGCCAGCTGGGCTCCTGAGTCTAATGGGGACTTGGAGAACCTTTACCAGTCAGCACTCTGTGTCTAGCTCTAGGTTTGTGAACACACCAATCAGTGTTCTGTGTCCAGCTAATCTGGTGGGGACTTGGAGAACTTTTATGTCTAGCTCAGGGATTGTAAATGCACCAGTCAGCACTCTGTGTCTAGCTCAAGGTTTGTGAATGCACCAATCAGCACCCTGTGTCTAGCTCAAGGTTTGTAAATGCACAATCAGCACCCTATCAAAACGGACCAATCAGCTCTCTGTAAAACAGACCAATCAGCTCTCTGTAAAATGGACCAATCAGCAGGATGTGGGTGGGGCCAGATAAGGGAATAAAAGCAGGCTGACCCAGCCAGCAGTGGCAACTAGCTCAGGTCCTGTTCCACACTGTGGAAGCTCTGTTCCACACTGTGGAAGCTTTGTTCTCTCGCGCTTTGCAATAAATCTTGCTGCTGCACACTCTTTGGGTCCACACTGCCTGTATGAGCTGTAACACTCACTGCGAAGGTCTGCAGCTTCTCTCCTGAGGCCAGCGAGACCACGAACCCACTAGGAGGAAGGAACAACTCCAGACGCACCGCCTTAAGAGCTTAACACTCACCGCGAAGGTCTGCAGCTTCGCTCCTGAAGCCAGCAAGACCACGAACCCACCAGAAGGAAGAAACTCAGAACACATCCAAACATCAGAAGGAACTCCGGACACACTGCCTTTAAGAACTGTAACACTCACCGCGAGGGTCCGCAGCTTCATTCTTGAAGTCAGTGAGATCAAGAACCCACCAATTCCAGACACAGGAGGACCACATCCTTCATATCCTGATATCCTTTTCTGTTCCCTTTCATGGATATAAAGTTATTTTCAGCCATCTCAAAATAGATGAAAAAGATCACAAGTGATTCTTTTCAGCTGCCTTGCAGACAACCATCCTCCTAACCTAAGAATCTAAGATCTGTTTGTTTTCTAAGAAAGACTTTCTTAGGATGAATTTCTTCTACATGCATCTTTTCCTGACCTCATTGCTTCTACAAGCAATCCTCCAAGCTGAGTATGTATGTGTGTTCCCTAAGTCAGTTTGACACTCATATTATTTGAATACATTTACCATTCTTTCTGCTGGCTTCCCATTCTGCATTGGAAACATGTGAATCTGCTTACTGGTGAGTTAAATTAAATATAAATTCCAAAATCCAGCCTGCATGTGGGGCATTGCTGCACTCTGACAAACCCTCTTCATCTCAGGATGTTTCTCCTTGTAAGGATCTTCTTGTTCATCAGGGTTGTTCTCTTGCACCATCTACTGAGGAACCAGTTCAAATGACTGACTCACTCTCTCATGAACCATCACACTCTGGTGAACTGGGCCTGAAACACACCTTGGTGAATTTAAAACAGGAGCATGCTCTAGTTTACAGCTTCTAAGAGCTTGGGAAAATTGCTGCAGGGGATTCCTGTGCCAGATAGATAGTTTGGGTCACCAATTCCTCCCTGAATGGGTCTCCAGATCGGAAAAAACATCACTAGGAGTTCACTTGGTTTTCCCACTAAATTTTATATCTTATTTTTCTCCTAAACTAATTGTTAACTATTGGAACTTCACAGCAAAATTAGAAGTCTACCTGGAGTCACACAAAAATCAAGAATACACTAAAACAAAAGCAAAAAACCTTTCTGAAAGAAAAATATTTGATAATATTTCTATAATCCTGGCAGAGGAGAAGTCTTCCTTATAGAAGCCATAAAGAAAAAAACTAACAGATTTGACTACATATAAAATAAAAAGCTCTGAGCAGAAAAACATACTGCAAACAAAATTAAAAGACAAACTAGGAAAAAGCCTTTTCAACATCTATAACAAAGAGCTAAAGTCCCTAAAAATAAAGAGCTCTTATTAAATAAAAACTAAGTGGAACACAAATAGTTTTTAAAAATTTGGGACAAGGATAGGAACTACACCTTCACAGTAGTGTGTCTTCACAAAGAGAAAAAAAAAATTCTATAAAAAGATGTACATATTCCACGTGACTAGCAGAATATAAACTTAATTAACAGCCTACCTGAGGCTGGGTAATTTATAAAGGAAAGAAGTTTATTTGGCTCAGTGTTCTGCAGGCTGTACAAGAAGCATGGTGTTGGCATCTGTATCAGGTGAGGGCCTCAGGCTGCTTCTACTTACTATGGAAGGGGAAGGGAAGTCAGCATGTGCAGAGATCACGTGGCAGGAGAGGAAGCAAGAGAGCAAAAGGGGAGATGCCAGGCTCTTTTTAACAGCCAGCTCTCCTAGAAACAAACAGAGCAAACACTCACTCATCTCGGAGGGAGGGCATTAATCTTTTCAAGAAGGACCCACCCCCATGACCCAAAGGTTTCCTATTAAGCCTCACCTCCAACATTAGGATCAAATTTCAACATGAGGTTTGGAGTGGACCATAGCACCCCCACATGTAATACCTAGCAAAAGAGGCATGCTGAAACTATAGCACCAATTTTTGTATGGTATTGAAAAAAAAAAAGTCTGGATGATTACACACTCAAAAATAAAAGAAGAGGGATTAGAATAGTGAAAGAGAAAGATAGTATATTTTATTTCATATTCTTCTTTATTGTTTGAAGGTTTTTAAGTAATTATTTATAATCTGGTAATTTAAACAGTCTTTTAAAGCCTCAAAGTCGATGGTGGCCTAGTGCTTTACCCCACTGTCACATCACCCCACCTCCCTCCCCAGGTGGACAACAGCTGAAGTCACAGTTAAAAAATATCCCCACTTCTCTATGCCACACAATTCATCACCTCTGTCTTCAATGAATCCACTTTTTAAAATATGTGGAAAGCCAAAAAGGTGGTAATCGATGTTTTATGGCTGCAAACCTGAGGGCACATGGATTTGAATTACATCTAACTTAGCGGTCAACTTCTAAAGTCATTATGTCCCCTATACACACGGCTGTCACGTGCCTCGTAAGGTGGCACTTGGGAAGTAGTGGCTCTTACAGAAGCCAGAGCATTGGATGGGAAGACTTGAGTGCAAGTTCTTTCTCTGTTACTTTCTAGGCAGATAACCCTGAACAATTTCTGATTAATCCCTGAGGTTCAGCTGTAAAATAAAATAAAATACCCAGAGGATATCACTACTTAGTTCATTTACCTTGTACGATGATTACAGAAAACTCAATGATCAATATGAAGCCTTTTATATAGAACAAAAGCATTTCAGTTATTCTTATCTCCTGTGTATATTTCACCAACTGGAGATCCCTTTCAGGAGGACCAGATGTTAAAAATGCAAATATCCCTGAAGTATAGCATCGTTTGTCACCCTAGCTTCTACTGCTTTAATCAAATAATCTGGCAACTAGCTAAGTATGATTTCGTGTTCAGAGTGCAGGAGTTGACAGGAGGTAGGGAGTTGCATTTGGAAGCAGGAGGGCAAGAGTGGGTAAGGTATGGGAGTCAAAAGCACTTAATGTCCAGGCAGAACTGAGAAGAAAAAGGAATGAGAGAGATACTCAAATCCTAAATGGATGAGCAGCAGGAACAAGACAGGAACTGGGGCCCAAACAACTCCCAGAGCTGTCTGCAAGGCTGAAAATCATAGCCTTCATGGGCACCACCCTATCCTCTTGTTGGAAAGAGAAAAAGAAAGGTAGACACAGGGACTCATGGAAATTTCTGCCTCTTCTCTCTCCATCTTTTTGTAACTGTTTAGATCAAGAGCAACAGTTCAAGAATTCCAAGATTACCTTGAAACTGCACTCCAAAGTGAGAATACCATACTCGTTTTAGAAGTTAAAGAGGCAAACTATCCCCCTTGTTTTATTGGTGAGAACTCTCTTGGGTTAAGTGACTTCCTCAGAGTCACTGCCAAATGGCTACTTACTTGCAGACCCAGTGGATGGGACCCGGAGCTTTCAGCTACTGAAAGGGTTGCTGCTGCTGACTCCGTTTTAAACATGTGTGGAGTCAATGATGTCTGAAAATCATTCAAGGGCCACAAGCAATGGGAAAGATACATTTAATCCACTGTCTTATAATCCTGGAGAAAGCCACTGTCTTGACAAGTGATTAAAGAAAACGCATCTTTTAACTTCTTTTTACAAGAAAAGAATATGCAGACTAGTAAGCGTTTTTAAAATATTTTAGAGGCTGCCATATACTATATCTCTTGGCTTCTGAATTTTCTGAAATGCTCTGCCCCAAAGTAAGAATCCATCAGAGCTTGAATCCTCCAAGAAACTCCTCATTGTCCTAGTTTTGCGATCACAATATGACCTATTTCTGTCCATTCCCTGCTTCATTCTGCTTGAACTATAAAGAACTTGAATTCTCTGATTCCATGGCTCTGACTCTTGGCTTTGCAAGTAGAAAAAAAAATAAAAGGGAATCTTCTATTCAGTCTAGGTGCCTTTTAATAGGAAGCCTACATAAGTCTTTTTCTTCCACCTTTTTCTTTTCAACACAGACAAAAAAGAAAAATTCAGTAATAAGTTGCATGATAAGCAAAAGTAACTCCATGTCTTTTAATAAATATTATTTAAAATGCACCTATACTGCATACAGAATATCTTAAAATTCTGATTATTCCTATTTCCCCTTGAAAAGTGACTGAGTAAAGGAAAGGAAACTTCAAGTTGCCTCTCAAGTGCAATAGTAGGATAAAAAAGCAGTTACTTTGCACTGGGCCAGTGAATGCTGACTCCAGAAAGCTTCAGTTCCCAGAATTATTAAAGAATTATTATACTTTTACTCAGTAATCTAAATAAGAAGTGAGTCAATATAGGTCCCTATTTCTAAGTCTTGAGAGTAAATAGCCAATAGAAAATAAGACTCCAGTTTCTGATGAAGCAGGGATAGAGGCTGGGTTCCTCCAGACTGTACAAGGAAAATACACTAGCGGGCTGCGCCTGGTCCCAGCAGAGTGGGTTAGGAGCAACAGGCTTCATGCTTATTTATTTGGATGCCCTTTGGTGGAGAGCCAGCCATGGTCAAATAAGGTCACATCTATTATATCCACCATCAACTACAACCATCCTGATGGAGGCAATGAAAGGAAGAGATGTTGTCCTAAAGGAAAGGCTGGGCTTTCGGACAGGTAGATGGCTGGTTGAAATGTTTCCTTCTTTGTCTACCGCATCCAATAAGTAATACAGACATTAAGTGTGTTCAATTCACATGGAAGGCGGTTAGAAGGATTAGGATCAACTCTTTCCCTGGTTTTTAATTCCTTTAATTCAGAAAGCAGCTTGCACAAAAACTAGGCTGAAGTCTGCAATATTGTACAGGATTGTTTTTGCCTACACAATATTCATTACCCTGGTATTGCTGAAATAACATCACGTTTCTTTAGAAAGCAAATATGTCCAACCCCATGTCATTTCACTTACGACAACTCTATGAGGTAGGTTTAATTAGCCACTTTTCACATTTCAGCAGATAGGTAAACTGAAGCTTCAAAGAAAAACTACTTGCTCAGAATCACATAGCTAGTATATGATGGAGCCTCCATGACTCTGGTGTTCAGTACTGGTTGTCTGCAATATTATGTTGCCTACCCAAGAATTACTGTGTGTTTTAAACTTTCTCACCAACATGGATATGGCTTGAGAGCTAGACCATAAGCTGAAAGGGCTTAGTAATGCATAAAAGAAATATACACATCCCCACAAATAAAGAATGGCCCGGCCAGGTATGGTGGCTCATGCCTGTAATCCCAGCACTTTGGGAGGCCCAGGCGGGCAGATCACGAGGTCAAGAGATCGAGACCATGCTCGCCAACACGGTGAAACCCGGTATCTACTAAAAATACAAAAATTAGCTGGGCGTGGTGATGCATGCCTGTAGTCCCAGCTACTCAGCAGACTGAGGCAGGAGAATCAATTGAACTCAGGAGGTGAAGGTTGAAATGAGCCAAGATCATACCACTGCACTCCAGCCTGGTGACAGAGCGAGACTCATCTCAAAAAAAGAAGAATGTCCCTTAATCTATGTCACTCAAGCTGCTGCAGACATGCCAAAGTCCTGCATTCCAAAGCACAGACACAATTTTAGCCACACGTCAAATGAGGGCTAAAGTAAGGAGTTGCCTGTCAGAATGAGAAAATGTCTACCTGCAATTAAAGCACAGGTTTAAAAAGGAGTTAAAAAAATGAAGAGGAAGAAGACTAAGGTAAAAACAAAAAACAAACAACAACAACAAAAAACTGTTATACTCATTGTGTACACCTAGGGAGTCACTGATAATAGGGCCAAAGTTTCTAACTTAACCATCAACCTAAGGGCTTTCTACACTTTCTCAGCAAAAATTTCTTTCATGTAGC
The DNA here is from genome assembly GCF_000001405.40 of Homo sapiens. Taxonomy (NCBI): domain Eukaryota; kingdom Metazoa; phylum Chordata; class Mammalia; order Primates; family Hominidae; genus Homo; species Homo sapiens. The sequence continues at coordinate 92,974 of NW_013171808.1, read as the reverse complement.
TCTAGCCAAAGGAAGCAGAATATATTCCCTGTTTGTGCTGTAAGGAACCAGAGAAGTGGTGTCTTCAGGTCCCCACCAACTGTTTGGAGCTGTCAAGGCTGGCAGGCAAATCAGAAAGGATCAAGTCAAGCTTGTCATAATTGTACCTTAATGACTTCACATGCTGTATGAGTCTCACCTGCTCCACCTGTCAAACAACAATCCCCAGAGAATGTTCAGATTCCAGAGATATCTCCCCAGAGACTTGACATAATTTAACTAGCATGTTTGAAACGGGTTTTAAATGTGATCAGATTAAAGGTCCTGGTTCCTAGAATATCTCTGCTAGAATCCATCCTCAAATTCCTGGTGTCAGTCTTCAGTTAAGTCCTCTGGTGAATATACAGAGTTCCAACTTGCAGAAATGTCAGCAGTAATTGGTCTTTTCATCAGTGTATCTTTAGATTAATGATAATAGTCATGAAATAGATTAGATGCCACTATTCATGGACAGGCATACCTCATGTTATTGCACTTCACTGTATTGCACACTGCAGATTATGTTTTTATAAATTGAAGATCTGCAGCAACCCTGCTTTGAGCAAGTCTATCGGCGCCATTTTTCCAACAGCATGTTCTCACATCATGTCTCTATGTCACATTTCAGAATATGATATTTCAAACTTTTTCATATTATATCTGTTAGGGTGGTCTGTGATCAGTGATCTCTGATGTTACTATTGTAATTGTCTTGGGGTCCCACGAACCACACCCATATAAGAAGGTGAACTTAATTGATAAATACTGTGGTCTAACTGCTCTACCAATAAGCCATTCCCCATCTCTCTCCCTCTCCTCGGGCCTCCCTATTCCCTGACACATGGCAATATTGAAATTCAGCCAATTAATAACCCTACAATGTCCTCTAAGTGTTCAAGTGAAAGGAAGAGTCACACATCTCTCATTTTAAATCAAAAGCTAGAAATGATTAAGCTTAGTAAGGAAGGCATGTTGAAAGCCAAGATGTGCTGAAAGCTAGGCCTCTTGCATCAATTAGCCAAGTTGTGACTGAAAAGAAAAAATTCTTGCAGGAAATTATAAGTGCTACTTTGGTGAACACAAGAATGATAAGAAAGCAAAACAGCCTTATTGCTGATATGGAAAAGGTTTTAGTGGTCTGAACAGCAGACCAAACCAGCCACAACATTCCCTTAAGCCAAAGTCTAATCCAGAGCAAGGCCCTAACTTTCTTCAATTCTATGAAGGCTGACAGAGTTGAGGAAGCTGCATAAGAAAAGTCCGAAGCTAGCAGAAGTTGATTCATGAGGTTTAGGAAAAGAAGCCATCTCTATAACATAACAGTGCAAGATGAGGCAGCAAGCGCTGAAGCAACTGATTTGAAAATCAGTTTCATCTGTAGGCAAAACAGACTTCTATTGAAAGAAGAAGCTTTCATAGCTAGAAAACAGTCAACGCCAGACTTCAAAGCTTCAAAAGACAAGCTAACTCTCTTGTTAGGGGCTGATGCAGCTGGTGACTTTAAGCTGAAGCCACTGATCATTTACCATTCTGAAAATCTAGGGCCCTTAAGAATTATGCTAAATCTACTCTGCTTGTTCACTGTCGATAGAACAAAGGCTGGGTGACAGCACATCTGTTTATAGCATAGTTTACTGAATATTTTAAGCTCATTGTTGAGACCTACTGCTCAGAAAAAAAAAAAAAAAAGAAAAAAAAAGATTCCCTTAAAAGTATTAACTGTGCCAGGTGCAGTGGCTTATGCCTATAATCCCAGTACTTTTGGAGGTCAACATGGGGGGATCACTTGAACTTAGGAGTTTGAGACCAGCCTGGGCAACATAGAAAGATCCTGTTTCTACAAAAATAAAAATTAAAAAATTATCCAGGCATGGTGACATGCACTTCTGTCCCAGTTACTTGGGAGTCTGTGGTGGGAGGACTGCTTGAACCTAGGAGGCGGAGGCTGCAGTGAGCCATGATCACGCCATTGCACTCCAAACTGGGTGACAGAGCAAGACCCTGTTTCAAATATATATATACACACACATACACACACACACACATATATATATGTATGTATATGTATATATATATTACTGCTCATTAACAATGTACCTGGTCACTCAAGAGCTCTGATGGAGATATACAAGGAGATTAATGCTGTTTTCATGCCTGCTAACACAACATCCACTATGCAGCCCATGGATCAACTTCAAGTCTTACTATTTAAGAAATTCATTTCAAATGGCTATAGTTGCCATATATAATGATTCCTCTGATGAATCTGGTAAAGTAAATTGAAACATTTTGGAGAAAAAAATCATCATTCTAGAGGTCATTAAGATGATTTGTGATTCTTGGGGGGAGGTCAAAATATCAACATTAACAGGAGTTTGGAAAAAGTTAATTGTAACCCTCATGGATGATTTTAAGGGGCTCAAGACTTCAGAGGAGGAAGTCACGGCAGATGTGGTGGGAACAGCGAGAGAACTAGAATCACAAGTGGAACCTGAAGATGTAACTGAGTTGCTGCAATCTATGATAAAACTTGAACAGATGAGAAGTTATTTCTCAAGTATGACCAAAGAAAGTGATTTCTTCCGATATAATCTATTCCTGGTGAAGATGCTGTGAACTTTGTTGAAATGAGAACAAATGACTTAGGAGTATTCCATAAACTTGGTTAATAAAGCAGCAGCAGAGTTTGAGAGGACTGACTCCAATTTTGAAAGTTCTGCTGTAGGTTAAATGCTATCAAACAGCATCGCATGCTACAGAGGAATCTTTCGTGAAAGGAAGAGTCAATGAGGACAATTTCATTGTTGTCCTATTTTAGGAAACTGCCTCTGCCACCACAAACTTCAGAAAACATCACTCTGATTAGTCAGCAGCAGCCATCAACATCGAGGCAAGACCTTCCACCAGCAAAAACATTGTGACTCACTGAAGGCTCAGATGACCCTTAGCATTTTTTTTTAGCAATAAAGTATTTTTAAATTAAGGTATGTATATTTTTTAAGGCATAATGTTATTGTATTCTTAATAGGTTACAGTGTAAACCTTACTTTCATATGCACTGGGAAACCAAAAATTTTGCATGATTTGCTTTATTTCTATTTTCACTTTATTGTGGTAGTCTGGACCTGAACCCACACTATCTCCAAGGTAGGGCTGTATTGGTGTGGTATTTCATTATCTTACATTCATGTTTTCTTCTTGGACCTTAGGACAAGGCCTACATCTAACCAGAGTCTGATTTTCAGCAATCAAGGTTTTCAATGATGACTATACACAAATTTTCAAAGCCCTTTCATACACCTATAATCTCAATGTTCATGGCATTGAGCCTCAGTCACTTTTACTTGAACAATCACCCTGATCTGGTTTATACTCTCTTGAAACAAAGTAAGTGAGCAGAGACTCAAATAGGAGTTTACGAAAAACATTTTACCAAAGAGAATATTCAAAAGGAAAAGAAGGTTGCATTTAGATTTAATCTGACACTAATAGCTGTGTCTGGGGTTACCATTAGTGGTTATTATCTCCACTCAAGATACAGCTGCACCCCCAAGTCTACACAAAACCACAAAGTCAGGATTTAACTGCCCAAGCCCAGCTCCGTAGCTTGCTCTGAAATGCTGCATAATAGTGTTTATGAAGAGAAAGGCAAACCTCTTTGAAGGTTTTTCCAATTTTTTTTTCTTTTTTTCTCAGGAAAGTGATCTGTTTTCAGGACCAGTAAATTTTTTTGTCTAATTAGATCATCTTAATTATGCCACTGTAACCCCTCTCAGAATAATAAATTAATAATCTAGAGTACAGACCTAAAAACAACCAAGAATTTTTTTTTTTTTTTGAGACGGAGTCTCGCCCTGTTGCTCAGGCTGGAGTGCAGTGGCGCGATCTCGGCTCACTGCAAGCTCCGCCTCTCGGGTTCACGCCATTCTCCTGCCTCAGCCTCCCAAGGAGCTGGGACTACAGGCACCCGCCACCACGCCTGGCTATTTTTTTTGTATTTTTAGTAGAGATGGGGTTTCACCGTGTTAGCCAGGATGGTCTCGATCTCCTGACCTCATGATCCGCCTGCCTTGGCCTCCCAAAGTGCTGGGATTACAGGAGTGAGCCACCGTGCCCGGCCAAGAATTAGTTATATAAATAAGATCCTTCATTCTCTTCTCTCTTTAAAGAGTTATCTTATTTCATGCCAACACCTTATCAAATTTACCCTAATTATACAATTTCCTATCTCTAGGAATTTGAGTTTTATATATCCAACAACTTTAAGCATTGTTCTCTAGGAAAGTGACAGAACAAAGCAAAGTTTACTATAAATTAAATTCAAACTGTGTGAGAATATTAGCTGAAAAAAGGGGGAAAATGGTCTAAGGACATTATAAATAAGTACCCCCCCCTTTTTTTTTTTGAGATGGAGTTTCGCTCCATTGCCCAGGCTGGAGTGCAATGGCGCAATCTCAGCTCACTGCAACCTCTGCCTCCTGGGTTCAAGTGATTCTCCTGCCTCAGCCTCTCAAGTACCTGGGATTGCAGGTATGTGCCACCATGACCAGCTAATTTTTTTTTGTATTTAGTAGAGATGGGGTTTCACCATGTTGGTCAGGCTGGTCTCAAACTCCTGACCTCAGGTGACCTACCTGCCTTGGCCTCCCAAAGTGCTGGGATTACAGGCGTGAGCCACTGCACCCAGCCATAAGCACCACTTTAAAAATAATAAATTACCATCAATGTGGGTTCAAAAAAATGAATTTGATCCTTAGTGCTATCTTAACCACCACACACAAAATATACATTAACTCTAAGTCCCAAACTAGTGAACTTGTTACCTATAATTTTTTTTTTCTTTAGGCCTTTGGTAAAAGAATGCATGGGCCAGCATTTCCAAACTGTTAGTTCCATAAATGTCAATATGCATTTCTTGGATAAACGATGTTCTGCTGTTATGCAAATCAGGGAGGGCTCCTTCCTGCATGTCAATGGTACATGGGACCAGTGCTGAAATAAACTGACTCTGCCTAAAAGTAACTAAGACTACCTAAAAGTAATCTCCCAAATGTGTTTTATTAGGCTGATGCAAAAGTAACTGCAGCTTTTGCCATTACTCATTGCAAAAATCGCAATTACTTTTGCACCAACCTAATAAATGAAAATCCCCAGTTCTCACCTGCCAGAGTTTTGTTTCAGTGAATCTCTGGAGCCCAGGACTTTGTGATTATGATGCTAAATTTGGGAACTACTGCAATAACCCATCCTGGAGTGTCACAATGCACACTAGCAAATTAAAGTTTTGGGAGAAGCATGCATAAGAAAAACTTGCTTACTTCCTTTACCCGTGTTTGACAAACTGATTTGACCATAAAAACTCCCTCTGTCTTCCTCATCCCTACTCCTCTCCCATAACTATTAACATGTTTTCACTGAATACAGTTTGAAAAACACTAGTACAAGCATTCTCAGAATGTCATTTTTATATATACTTGATTAGAAATGGCAAGAGGATTGCCTGTGTTTATACTGGGTACTTTATATTCATAGCTCAGTTTTCCTTATCTCCTAAACATGCATCTACAAAACTGTATAAGAAAAAATTACTTTTAGAAGCAGATTCTCGTAATATTTCAAATCCTCAATATTATATTCTCCTTAAGGGTAGGAACTATGTCTCACCCATTTTTCTATCAGCAACACTTTGCACAGGACATAAGATGCATCAATGTTGTTGGCGCTGATGGAAGGAATATTCACACTATTATACTTACTGAACACACAGAGAGATTAAAGTAGTTTATAATGACTTTTTAAAACATGAGTTGAAGAAACAATGGTTTATTGTTGCCTTAAATCTTGGGCTACCAAAAAATGTTTGAATTCTACCACTTTGTATTTTTCCTATCATTCAGTGTTATATGAATTCTACCACTTTGTATTTTTCCCATCATTCAGTGTTGAACACATATTGTCCACTGCTTGCAACCTTGACTTATTCAAGAGTATCAACCAATTATATCCCGATCAACTTGAACAACGAAAGAAAACCACACACAAACGTAGGGGAAGACTTTTATGATATTTTACCTCTTAATTGTGAAACACGCTGATTACTCTAGGGGAAAAGATTCTTGCTTGCCATTTTATTGCCCAGTGCCTTTCATAGAGATGTCCAATAATCACCTGGGCTTTTTGTTATTGTTGTTGTTGTTGTTTAGATTGTGTATGAGTGCATGCATATAAGCAACTGATCAAAGCTCTCCCACGAGAAGGTTCCATGAGAAGAGGATGTTTGTTGTGTTTATTGCACATAGAATATGCTCCATAAATAGTTGAGAACAAATGAATGAGTGAATTCCACATTCAGCACATGGACTCTTTGCTGCACTCAGCACATGCAGTTGCAGAATCCAGCATTCGTGTCATAGGGTCTGCCTGTACCATCTACCAAAACACCCTCCTTGGCCAGTGTCTCAAAGCAAGATTTGTGCCTACCAGTTCTCCTGGTATCTTCCCCAAGCATTAAACTTCAACTTTTTAATGTTTGTGTTAATTCAGGAAAGACCTCTGGATTGGCCAGTAGTATTGAATATATTTAAGAAAAACAATGCTTTTACTCTTATGGGTATTTCAATTCCAAAAAATTATGATTCCTGTGTTCTCTGAGCAAAAATATTTATTTCCATAAGCTGGAGTTTTTCTTCAAGGAGTTTATCTCCTAGGAGTTTAGGAAGCAAAGGGGAAATAAGTAATTAGGGCTAAATAATCTGAAAAGGAGGAGGATTCTGGTGCTAGAACCATACATACTTTACAGTACAAATCTCACGGAATTAGAACTCTCCCTATTACCTCTCCCTTCTGAGTATCATTTATTTTCAAAACATACTGCCATTGCTAACCCCCAGAACTGTATGAGCTACAAAAATGAGAGAATGCTTTGAAATGACTACGTGAAAAAAGAAATTGGAGGCACAAATGGTCCTATCTTCTTTTGTGGGGGTCTTTTCCCACAGAAGAGGAAAATCACAACTTTTCCTCTTCTCCAAATAGTGTGAAGCTGATTGCTTCCTGCTTCACCACTAGGTCTCTATGGGATAGGATATCAAGGCTGCTACATCACCTGTCTATATCTCAGTCTACTCCTTTCTAGAAATCCACACTATGATATGGTGTCTCCTCTACACCATGGAGTTGGAGTCTGCAAAGTACTTTACAAAATACTTTACGAAGTACTTTACAAAATATTTTCAGAGTAAAGACATATAATTTCAGAGTGAAGACATATGATTTCTGCTAAAGAAAAAGCAACCTAGAAGTGGCAGAAGATTGAGAATAACTCCCTCCTGTCACTGTGGGCAAAGTTCCATCACAGCTGGAGACTTTTGTACTGAATAAATGCAAACAAAAAAATAACGACTATTAGCATCAAGGCACTATATTTCAAAGCTTGATAGGGCTGAGGCCACTTTGGGGAAAACTGCTCAAGACCAGCAGGTTCAGAATAATGATTACACCAGTGCCCCCACTTTGATCCTGGCCAGAACTCTTCCTTCCCCTATGTCTCCTACACATTATGTAATTCTAGGAGTTTGGAGGTAGAAAACACCTTTGTAAAAGTTATTAGTGCTAAAAAAGCACCAGGCATCACTATTTAGTCTCCGGCATACACTTACTGACAACCATGAAAAAGCCATAGATACCTGCAATAGACTTCACTCCAACCCAGCAAAGAGAACTTGATATTCAGCAATACCTTAGAGAATGGCTTTATTTATTTTTTGCACAGCCAGTTCTATACATTTCCAAAGAACAATCTTTTCTCCCTACCAAACCAACCCTGCCTCCTTCTGCAAGGCTACCTTGGCCAGCACTTTAGCCAATCCCCCTTTCTGATGCTAATGAAGTGAAAACAACCAAATCCTTTGGTTTTCAAGCAAAATTAGCAATCTGCAATCACTGAGCTGTAGTAAGTAAAACTGAAAGAACTTCCACTGGAGAAAAAATAATCTAAATATTCCTTAGAACAAAAGAATATGATTAAAAGAGAGAAAGAGTTTACATGGAATCTCCCTGTCCACATGTTTGCAGGGAGAGAAGAGAAATATTTTAATCATCCATGTCCTGGTTTTCTTCATTCATTCATTCATTCAGTCTTTCCTTTATTTTTAATTCTGACAGCTGCACTCAAAATAATTCTTGCCTGTAGCCTTGAGTAACCAGGATACTCAAAATTTTGGCCATATTGCAATGAGTCTAATAACATGTCAAGATTCAGAATCATCAGTCCTGAAGTCCCCAAATCCTCATCTGCCACCTCCTTGGTGGCACAGCCAATATGTTCCATGATTGGTTATTCCTTCTTTGTTGAAATGAAACCATGGGTCTCCGTTTTCCCAAAAAGGCTGGCTCCAAAGTGGAGAAAGATTGGAATGTGGAAAATCATTGACTGAAAGCTACAATGTGGCTATTAAATAGTTTACTGAGCTCAATACCCAGCAGCTAAAGGTCTCACAGACCTTCCCTAAACCAGACCTAGGATCTAAATAGAGTTGATTGAAATAGAATGATTCCAAAGTGTGATTTAATCATTTTTTTTTCCTCAACACAAAGAAAAGGTGGGCATCATGCAATTCCAGCAGCAATTTATTCTTGTATGCATTTTTCAGCTTAATTTTGCTGACATATTAGAAAATAGATAGACAATTTGGCTGTATAATTTGCCAAGACTAACGGAAGCAGTCAATTGTAGAGTACTCAAGAGGTAATCCATCTCCAATTCAACTTGTTAAGCATGGATAGCTGGGGGTATATTTTTGGCATGCCATTAGGAGAACCATTGTCAATACAAAAACAGACTCGTAGATTAGTTTTTTTTAATCAAAGCAACTGTTAAATATGCATTTTGTATATATTTCTTCAACAACCAACAGTTATACTCCTGCCAACAAGCATGTTATCTTAGGGCACAGATTGCGTCTGAGTACTGAAATCTCACTCCTTTTCAGTGAAAGGAAACCTTCTGTATTTACTGCGCTTCAAGTGGAGTGTCTTTTTTACACTTCCAAAGTAAGCTGGTCCCCCTATTTCTCTTTTTATCCCTAGTTCTGCTTGGCTCAAGGCATGTCAGAGCTGTAGACTCCACAGAGGACCTGGGTGATATTTGAGCCTAGTATTTTCTATTCATTTTTTACTTTTGAATCCTTTTTTTCACCAAAACATATAATCACTGGAAATCCCTTAGGAAATCTTTTAATGATTTCATCATTTTTGCATGGTATATAAGAGATTTAAAATAAAGCATTTCACTTGAGATCAATGCATTATTAAAGATTTTATCAGAAAGTTCATTTAATACAATTTTAATAATATTCATTATGTATGAAGACAAATTTCAACCTTTCCCCTTTGAATAAGTAATATATGCTGTTCAATTTACTTTAAATTTATTTTATTTAAAAATTATGATTGGATCAGGCATGGTGGCTCACGTCTATAATCCTGGCACTTTGGGAGGCCAAGGTGGGTGGATCACTTGAGACCGGAAGTTTGACACCAGCCTGGGCAACATGGAGAAACCCTGTCTCTATGAAAAACAAAAATTATCCAGGTGTGGTGATGCATGTCTGTAGTCCCCGCTACTCGGGAGGCTGAGGCGGGAGGATCACTTGAGCCTAAAAGGCAGTGGTTGCAATGAGCTGATATCGTGCCACTGCACTCCAGCCTGGGCAACACAGTCTCTCTCTCTCTCTCTCTCTCTCTCTCTCTCTCTATATATATATATATATATATATATATATATATATACACACACACACACACACACACACACATATATATACACACACACACTGAGGTTTGACTAACCAATATTGTGTTAACAGTAAACTTTGTGACCTTATAGTGGAATGTTTGCATCATGTCCTCAAAAAACTTACTTTTGTTTTGTAATTTTCATGGTTTCAGGCTTTGATTTGCAAGTGTCTCTCAACAAATAACCATAGAGTGAGTATGAATAATTTTTAATCTCAGTAAATAAAGAGCCAAATTGGATCTAGTAGGCACTGTTTTTTACATTTTTAACACCTGATGTGCTATAGAAGGACCCTGATCATGTCAGCTTGAAGATCTGCTTAGGAAAATCTCAAGGTTATTCACAGGATTATCATTTTTATTCTCCTTGCCAACTTGTTTGTGTATTTCAGTATCAATGTTTCTTATGTTTCCTCTCTTCAACCAGAAGCCCGTGAAGGTTGTAATTAAACTGCTGTATGTATATTTAGGAGTAAAAAAGTCTTGAGCTGACATACCCAGGTACCATGCCACATACCCAAGGCACCATGCTACACACCCAAGCAGCCAAGTTCAAAGCATGATCATGTGACCTTCCCTCACTATCACTGCTGTGCCCAGAAAGGTTTCAAATGGTTCTACTTTAAAAGGAAAAGTTCTAGTGAAGGAGTGGGAGGAGAGCTCCACTTGGCAACTGAGGGTAAAAAAGCTTGGCCCTGTAGTTTGCAAGATAACACAGCTAAAAACGAGCCTTAGGACAACTCCAGGGTCCCAATTCTGGCTTCAAACTCAGGTCTTGGGACATTCAGTTCCCTAGAGAATTTCTGCAAAGTTCTGGAAGGCAAGTTCAGTGGTGAAATAAACATTAGCCCAGCAGGAAGTGGCAAGAGGATACTCAGAGTACTGGCAGCCTGTAACTGCTTGTGGCCAAAAGTCAGAACCCTGAGGAGAATCAGAAACAAAAACCCAAACTCCAATTTCCAGACCCACAATAAGCAGACAATAAAAGCAAACAAAAAAGCCTACAGTATATACTTACCCCTCTACTGCTTCGGGAGATTAAAATTCTCTTTCCCTTCTACCAAACCAGTCCAGCATTTTCCTTGTTTCATGCAATGAGGGGCTTCATATGTTTTTTTACAAATGTAAAAATTATCAAATTTGTATTTGTTTAAGTTGCATACCTGAAGAAATACATCTCCATGTTCTCATCTGAACCTTAGAATCTGTTAAAAATCAAATGATCCAATGACCTTAATTATTAATTAGCCAAAACCACAAAACTTCATTCCTAGGATTGGACCAAGTATCTAATCATCTTTTGTAGTCTTCACTTTTGAGAATGTCACACAACTTTCCCTGAAGTTTGAAGGTTTGATAAATGGTTTTTCTGAGGCAGTTCTATAGAGTCATTGAAAAAATATACAGTAGGAGAAAACAGGCTAAGTTGACCACATTCATAACAAACAATGCTACAGCATGCAAAATATCCTTGGCACTTAGCCTCTGAGAATTTTATCATATCAAAATCCATACAGTCAGTTCTGCTCCAGTAGAATGTATGTGTTGCTGAAATTCTTTGTGCTCTGCAAAATCGCACAGTAAAAACCAAGTGGCTTACTGGAAAAATTAGGTTTGAGGCCGGGTGCGGTGGCCCATGCCTGTCATCCCAGCACTTTGGGAGGCCGAGGTCGGCAGATCACTAGGTCAGGAGTTCAAGACCGGCCTGACCAACATGGTGAAACCCCGTCTCTACTAAAAATACAAAAATTAGCCAGGCATGTTGGCGCATGCCTGTAATCCAAGCTACTCAGGAGGCTGAGGCAGGAGAACTGCTTGAACCCAGGAGGCGGAGGTTGCAGTGAGCCAAGATTGCACCACTGCACTCTAGCCTGGGCGACAGGGTGAGAGTCTGTCTCAAAACGAAACAAAACAAAACAAAACAAAAAATGGGTTTGAGGTACAACAATCAAAAACATTGTCAGTAACACATTAAAAAGAAGCAGAAACATAATAAAAATGGTAGCACAGTTTTATATGTGTTAAATTGTTGAGAAATATACAAATACAACAATAAACATGGCATATTATCACATTAAAAAACTGGGATTTACTGTGGAAGTGAATGTGGTTAAGGAATGAGGCTTGTGGGTTATTGTGAAGTGGTGGAAGAAGGGCATTCTGAAATCAGACAGAAAGTTGGTAGTCCCAGATGTGGATGGGTGGGGCTCCTAAAACATGGGTGCATTTTTGGTTTTCCTATGTGGCATTCAGCTGGCTACAGTTTCTGCATTTACCTAGTGTTTCTCTGGGAGGAAATCACACATAAGCAAATACAGCATTTGTTTTATGCTTGTCTTGAATATATCAATTGCTTTGGAACAAATTTGCCTTTTCAAAACAAGTGTGATAGCAGAACTGACTTTACTAAGAATTGATTATAGTCATAAAGATTAAAATTTAGAGATTAGAAAGCTGGGAAGTACTTAAAGAACAGCTATCATAATTCAAGTCCTCATATTACAGATAATATTAAGATATCAGCATGTTGTTTGAGTTTTGTTTTGTTTTGTTTTCCCCAGAATTTGCCCGTATAGCTTCAGGGAAACTAACAAATTTTCAAGACCCAGTCTAAACTAGCGAAGGTACCAAAGGAAAGACGCTTTGATGGGAAAAACAAGCACTTAGGTCACAGCCCAGTTCCAGGTCCATGGATATGGTTTTGCATCCGACATGTATGGATCTAGGTGCTTCAAGAGTTGTTTGGGAAACCCATATTATTATCCAAGAAGCACGCTCCTACTGGCTCAAGTGACAAGATACACCTAAAATATACTCACAAAAAGAGAATGTTTTCAATTTGCTGGGTTCTCTCCATATATCACTTTGAGGTTTGTGAGAGCCCTAGGACTAATGTTCACAGTCATTTCTAGGACAGCTGTTTACTAGTATTACTGATACAGAAGTCACTATTTGTTTTGTGTGGTGCAAAATGATTAGCGGGACCTATTAGCCTTTTAAGGGTGATTCATCTACTTTCAGAGGCTTGGAAACCTCTGCAAAAGAAGCCCCATTTTCCTTAATATACATGTAGGAAGAATAGAGGGAGGGAATTTCCCTTCTCCAAATTCAACTAAAGAGGAAGCAGAAAAGATTTTGCAATGCACTTATCCACTGTCCTGTCAGACTACTGCGAAAACATTTCACTGTGTAACATTCTGTGACTATTACTAAACAACTCCCATATACCAAGCACTAATGAAGACTACAGAATCACGAATTCCTGTAGGCAGTAGCTGGAGCCTGCATTATTCAAACACTCCACAAGGGAGTCCTTTGAATACGCCCAGGTTGAGAGTCACTGATTTTGTACCTGAAAAGGTATCCTAAGACTGTTATGCTTTATGTAAGGGATATATACAGTTGACATTTTAAGTAACAAAGTTCGAAAACTTGGAAGAGAAGAAAAATTGATTATGAAGGCGAAGTATTTGTTTTTTTTTTCCTTGTTTATTTTTACTCAATGTAGATGATTGGGATAAAATGTGGAAGGGGAAATGTTTAAGGTTTTCATGGGTATGTAGGAGCCACACTGGGCCATCTCCTTTTGATTTTGAAAAGAAGATAAAGCCCTCCTGCTGACACATTAAACCAGGGGAGACTGAATGACAAAGACACTGGACAGTGAGGGACTGGGATGAGGGTTAGGTGTGGGAGAGACACCAGCTTTAAATCTGGGCCCTACTCTACCTATTCAACCTCCAGCAGTCTTGACAGAAACCTTTGAGCCAAGGTCAAGAAAATTACAGTCTTCTCTTTTACTGATAGTGTCCTCCTTTCACCCAGATTGCTTCTTGTCTCTTCTCAAAGTCTAACATGAAAGAAACCCAGTTTGTTTTGCTGATATCCCTAGGTTGTTTAAGTGGATGCATCAATATTTCCTTTTGAAGAAAACACTTCCCACATGCTCTTTGGAGCAAATTCTATAACGTAATAAATAAAATAAGGTGACTTAAATTGGGTATCCCAACATATACCTTTCCTTCATTTATGGCTCATGAGACAGAGTGATAAATAGAGATAGACTGTAACACACATCACAAGTGTTGTACAGCAGCCATAAAGAAAATATCATTAAAGGGATCTCCGTCCCCAATAAAATACATCCTATGCTACTACCAAACGGTCCTTGTAAATCACTAGTGCTTAAGAAAATAAGACGTAATCATTTTTTTCAATAAAGCTCAGTTGGTTTCCAACTGCATAAATTCCATAGTGATGGGCAATCTGTTTTTGAAATGATTCTTAACCAAAGGTACATTTTTCCGAGAGATAACAATCAACTGATAGTCTAGTTTTAATTACTTTAAGTAGGACAGATTAAAAGCATAACCTTAAGATATATACATATATGTGTGTGTGTATATGTACACATATATGTGTGTGTATATATATGTGTATGTATATATATACATATATGTGTATATATATACATACACATATAAGACTGAGATTCCATCTCAAAAAAAGTTTTTTAAATAAAAATTTAAAAATAAAAGTAAAAAGAATGGAAAAAAATCTGGTTGTACCCTACGCTCAAAACATCTCTGGTCTTGCAAGACAGTTGCTTGGTGGCATCAGATGATTTCCAATAGCTATTACCTAAATTTATCCATGAAACTACTCGTCATGATACAGAAAAAATGCTTAGCATGTCAAATAAATATTGTCGTGGAAACTTTAAAAAGGTTATTTTCAGGTCATGTGTTACCCGTCAACTACAGAAACTTATATGTGTATATACATGTATATACATATACAAACATACACATATATATATACACACACACGTATATACACACATACTTTTCAGGTAATGAATACACTAAAAGCTGACAGTTCACCAATACACATTATATCCATGTAACAAAACTACACTTGCATCTCTTAAATTTATACAAATAAAAAATTTATATAGTTTTCTAAGTACTTACTACTAAGATTCTTTTGCTAAAATTCTTATTACTAAGATTCTTTTGCCTGTGGTTCAGTACATATTTCAATTCTGCACAGACACAAAACTTTCCTCTAAGTATACAGAAAACAAGAAGCATAATTAGTAATGTATATTTATCAACATGTGTATTCCCACACTACAGTAACTGACCAATTAATGTAAATGTTACTATTGTACTTCATTTAAATAGTCTCTAACTTTCCTCACTCTGATTACTAAATAAAATGCACTGTAATTTTCAATCGGTAAAAATGCAATCTGTTAAAGTAAAATATTCTTATCTTGGGATAAGATCACAACTCCTATTCCCACAGTTTACAGAAATCATTGAAAAGATTGACTACACATACACTACATTTCTTTACTAGTCCAGGAAAAGTTTTAAATTAAAATAAACATCATGAATCAAAGGGTGTTTTTTGTTGTTTTTCTTTGAAAACAAGTGAATAGACATTCCACCAATAGTCAAAAAATTGCCAAGGTTATTTTTCCTTCACATATTAAAAAAAAAAAAACAGAGATCTAACAGGAGAAGCTACAGAAGTCGAGCACTAACTCTCATTCCAATCTTCCCTCAAGAGCCAATTAGTTGGAAGCCTTAGAAAGAGAACAATGTACCAATTCTTTGCAGCAACAAATTACAGAAGCCCTTACCTTTTAGTCAGAGTAAGTGACAGATAACCAGCATAATAAACTCAGCAGGCATGCCCGCCATGCACATTTCTCAGTGGGCTCCTCCTGCAGTACCCAAAGAACTGTGCATCAAAACTCCAGCCTGTCTGATCCATCCTTCATTCACTGTCTGAGATACCAGCTACCAGGGTAACAAGAAGGGCCTCACGAAGTGGCAATCTCAGTTTCTTAAAAACCTTTGTCCTGAAGAAGAGAGGAGAAAAGGGAAGGGGTGGGAAAGAAACAGGGAGAGGAGCAGAATAATTACTTTCCCGAAGGTGAAGTGTTTGCCATAAACTAAATGCACAGCAACCAGCGTTTTAAGTTTGAACGATCCTACTTGCAAGCTCCTGAAGAATCTGCCCTACCTCTGCCTCTTAGGAGAAAAGTGTGTGTGTGTGTGTGTGTGTGTGTGTGTGCATGCGTGTGTGTAAAAGAGTGCGAGAGTGCAAGCACCAATGTATGGACAGGGAAGGGAAGGAGAGATGGCTGGAGAAGTGAGGGGGAGGGCTGGGGGGAGAGCTCTAGGATGTGACCCACATATGGAATGAGCATTAGAACAATGAGGACAGGACCGCCAAGCCGGTGCACTCTGGGGCAGCAGTTTTCAAAACAAGGCTTCACAGCTTTGCAGGAAAGGGGGGTGTGGGGAAACATAACACAAAACAAGCTAATTGAAATAAGCAACTGGATACAAAACGAGCTGGCCAAATCACCAGTAATCAGCAATCGGGACATGGTGGGCTCCTGGATTTCATTTTTATGCAGCCTGTGGGTTTATTCCCCTCCTTACTAGAAAGCTTTTGGTCCCGGGGGCGTAGAATTCCAGAGGACCCAATTAACACCATACTTGGCTAGTTCCCTGGTATGATCAATATGAAATAAGCTGCCTTTTAGCATCTCCATAAAACAAAACAGCCTGGAAACTGGGTCTGCTATTTTTTTTTTATTTCCTTTGTAGACTGACAGCCAAATTGGGAGGGTGGGGCAGAGAAGCCACACACATTTAAGACATTAAGAAAGGATACAGAGGGCATGACTTGGCTGAACATATTTAAGAACATTAGGTCTAATAAAGTTTTGAAGTCAATTAAATAATCTCTTCTGTATCCTCAGATATTTGATGACCAGAGGGCTGTTCCACACATGAGGTTTTCTGGGCTTAACTCACAAGGGGCTCTAATGATTGCTAGGTTCTTCATAACACAATTCTAGTGTTTTGGCAAATGATTGACTCATATACATGTTAGCTAACCTGTGGTAAACAGGACTTAGTTTGCACAATAACTTTCATAGTAAGTCTTCCTTAAAAATAGTATTTTTTTCTCTGGTTTTGATTTCATTTCACAATCAAACAACTGGTTTTCTTCATAGCCCAGAGATAAAACAACATCCAAAGCAGTATTGGTATATTTCAGCATTTCATTAATTAAAAAAAGAAACCATTCTCATGTGAGGCTTTCCCAACAAACTCTTCATTCACTAATATTTTATTCCTAGTGCAACTAGTTTAATTTGTAATTTCAAACAACTTCTACATTCTGTTCTCTGCTTACTCTGAAAACACAGATAATCAAACAACCTGTGAAAGAAAGAGATGGCAATAAAACTTTCCAAAAAGCACACGCATTCATGTGGCACATGCACACACACTCACATACACACACACTCCTGTGAAAACCTGGAAGACAACTTCAAAGTGAGTGCCATGTTTCTTATATTGTACTACTAATCCTCTGATTTCAGAATTGTGTGACCAGGAAAAAATGTTGCTGTTAAGTTCAGGGCTACTAGAGCTAGGTTTACATCTGGTTAAAAGAAAAAAAAAATCCCTCTGATAAAATTACTAAAGATCAAATTTCCATAAGAATAAGCTCAATAAAAATGTTCATAAAGAAAGAGATTACTAATTCCCATGTGGTACTAAAGGTTATAAAGAGTTAAATCACAGCATATGAAAACCTGTGTTTAAATAATTTTTAGGCAATGACACAAGCTGAGGAGGGAAATAAAATTAATAAGTGACAGGAATGAGGGGCTGTCAGCACCAACTCCAAATTTCATGCTCCTTGGCTTGATCCTGTATTTTATTTAACACAGATTTCTACATATGCAAAATTTGCCTCTTCTTGTGAGGTCTTGTACAAGGTTGAAGAACCTTGGGCTGTGAGCTTATCTGAGAGATACAATGAAGCGGGATGAACTGGTGGCAGGGGCTGGGAGCAATGGTTCCAAGTATTAGATGCTGTTTACAGCTGCAGCTTCAAGGCAAAGTCTAAGCAATGACACTTCCAAGTAACCAAAGGGTATTCCTCTGGACAGTGATCTTGTGGATGAGGCAAATCTGATCTTCTGACTAAATGTGCTCAATTTCAGTCTGCATACAAGAATGCTTTCCATTTGCATTTACTTTTGTTTCATTTGATTGCATGTCTGCCTAGCCAGGTAGTGAGCCAAATTAAACAAAGGAAAACTTTTGAAATATTCTATTCCAGCTTCAACATGATGTTGTTTTCTTCTGTGCTGTTTTGAAAATGAGCCAGGATGTAAACGGGCTGTGTTATCTTGTATGGAACTGCCTCAGGCAAAGTATTCCCATTAAGCAGGAACAGATCCAGGTATGGGGTGGGGGTGGGGGCCTGAAGCTGATTCCATGTGGAGGACTCCCTTTAAGTATATAACTTTATGAATTCATACTTAAGTGGAAAGCCAGGCACAGTGGCTCATGTCTGTAATCTCAGCACTTTGGGAGGCTGAGGTTGGAGGATAACTTGACCCCAAGAGTTGGAGATCAGCCTGGGCAACATAGAGAAACTGTCTCTACTACAAATAAAATTAAAAAAAAAATAGCCGGACATGGTGGCACAGGTCTGTAGTCCCAGCTACTCAGGAGGCTAAGGAGGCAGAATCACTTAAGCCCAGGAATCTGAAAATGCAGTGAGCTATGATCACACCACTGCCTTCCAGCAGTGCAAGGGCAATAGAGCAAGACTCATCTCAAATTTATATATATATAATTTATATATATATAATTTATTTATATATATATTTATATATATTTATATATAAATATATATATAATATATAAATATATATATTTATGAGCCTCTTCCAAGGCTCTTCCAAGGCTCTCCACTTTATATATATATAATATATATAATATATATAATATAAATATAATATAAATATATAATATAAATATATAATATATATAATATAAATATATATAATATATAATATAAATATATATAACATATATAATATAAATATATATAACATATATAATATAAATATATATAACATATATAATATAAATATATATATAAGTTTATATATATATAAAGTGGAGAGCCTTGGAAAAAGCTCATGGGGGGAAGGGTACTAAAACTGAAGCTACAAAAACTTTACAGTAAATAGGCCTCTACTTTCACTAGGACTCTACTAAGAGCACCACTATGGACTCTACTAAGAGCACCCCCAGTATTCCACAGTAGATTTGTGAATATATTTTCTCATTGGTAGTAATGGGAGGAGATAGTCACCTAGAGAAGCTAAAAACATTTAGTCTAAATATTGAAGTAAAATGATACCAGCAAAGGGAAATCTATCACAGGCTTTCATTTTCTTAGAAGGGTAACTAGCTATACATAGACAGGGCATGAAGGAGTTAATGAATCCATTAATTCAATAAAGCATAATATCTCCTAAAAAGACATTTGCTTTTTAAAAATAATTTCAAATTTACAAAAAAAACTGAAAGTTGAAAAATTTGTTCAAAGAGTTTCCACATACCCTTTACTCAGCTTTTCCAGATATTAACATTTTACGTAACTACATAACAATGATAGGAAATTAACATTGATACTATAATCTTAACTAGTTAACAGACTACTCAATTTTACCAATTGTTCCATTTATGTCCTTCTGCTGGTCTAGAATTCAATTCAGGAACTCACACTGAATTTAGATGCCATTTCTACTAAGTCCCCTCCAATCCGGGACATTTCCTTAGTCTGTCTTTGTCTTCCGTGACCTTGACATTTGAAGAGTATTAGCTGGCAATTTTGCAGACTGACTTTCTATTTGGGTTTATCTGATATCACCTCACTATTAGTTTGTGGTGTGCATTTTGGGACGAATACCATAGAAGTGATGTTCTTTCACCTGTATCATATCAAGAGGTATACAATATTGATATGTATTAGTGCTGATGATACTAACTTTGATCACTTGTTTAAGCTGGTGTTTGCTAGGTTTTCCACCTTAAAACCACTATTTTCTCCTTTTAGCTTATAAATTTCTTGTGGGGAGATACTTTGGGACTAAGTAAATATCCTGTTTCATCATACTTTTCACCTACTATTTTCAGCATCCATTGATGATTCTTGCTTGCAACAATTATTGCCGTGGTGTTTACCAAATGGTGCTTTTCCATTTCCCATCTTTTCTTCTACATTTATTAACTAGAATTCTACGGTAAGGAGGGTGTGTACCTTCTAGAATAGGGACTTTTAAAAGAAAAACAACTATGAAAATTGAATTACTCTGAAACCAACATAGCTGGTTTATCTATAAAATAAGACCTCTCAGTGCCACCTATTTTTTGAGAATGTGAAAACTCCAAGGTCTTCCCTTTCAACCTTCTGCTGGCATTTCAAGATTCTTCAGCAGATCTACTGCAACAAAGGGGAGGGCAGAAGCAAAGAGAGGACTGAGAAATGGCATCAGCTTCCCAACAGCAACTATGGCTTATAATGAGAGAACTTTGAAGCAAATGGGTGACTTTTGTTACAAATGTCTATTAAGGAGACATATCCAGCAGGTCTCATTTATGTCCTTGTTCTGGTCCAGAATTGAATTCAGAAAGAATTTAGCATTTAGTTTTCATGCCTGGGTTGGTCTGACCCATTTAAAGGATCATCCTCACCCAGCATGATGCAACTGTCCCTCCCAAAAGGACCCATAGGATGGTCCACAATCCAGACCTCACACCTGCTTACCACCAGCTCCCCATTTATTCTTGGACCCCATGCCTGTGCTTCATTTGTGCCCTGTCTCACCTCACCTCCTCCAGGTCAATGCAGGATCTAGTTTCGTGAATTCCAGGTGTAAGTTGTCCTCTTAACTTTCACACATCAAAGAATGCCCTTCCAGTTAGAACAGGACCCAGAGACCAGTCATTTTTGCCTCTTCACATCTACAAACAACTGACAGACAACTGCAGAGGTGGTTTGAGTATAAGCTATTAGACCGAAATTTGTCATGCAAATCACATGAATGCCAATAAACTCAAGCAAGAGGAGATTCTGTGAGAGGAAGGATGAGTATTCATTCCAGAGGAGATGACCACACTGCTACCAAAACAGGGGCTTTCCCAACTCCCAACTAATGGACAAGTCTTCATCAGTTATCCCTCCCTGAAACTGTAAAGCAGCTGCTAGCCCTGATGTTTATACCTGTATCAATCAGACCCTGCCATAAAGAGCAAGGGGAAGACTAAGAAGCAATACATTGAGTCAATTACTTCCCAGAGAAACCACTCCAGGAAGTAAGATGCAGACCCAGGAGGAACCCTGATGCATTATGCAGAATGAAAGCTGGAGGCCACAAAGGAGCCACCTAAAGCCCTTCCTAAGCACTCATGGAGAGGTGTACTGAGGCACACTCCTCAGAGGACCAGAAATCCACTGGACAGGATTAAGAGGGAAAAAGTCTTGTAATGGAAAGGTTACACAGTAGATTGAAAACTGCATTACACAGTTTCCAGATACATATTCTAAAACTCCTTTTTCAAACCGTTAAAATATCAAACAGAATATGTTGTCAAATCTCATGGGCCATCAACTGAAATCTTTTTGTAACCACACAATTGCGAAAAAAAGGTTCTGCACTTATTACTATCAGAATCTAAAACCCTCTAAACTACATTTGAATAGGCAGTCAACACTTTCTCAAGGTTTGCAATGTCAGCTGCTAAATTTTCATCCAAAATGAAATGATCAGGTGGTGAGGCGAATCTAACCCACCTCTTTTATAACACCATTGTTCCTCTGACTAGCCATCCCAAGCTACAAACATTTCACAAAGGAAAAAATTTAAAAGATAGTTCAGCACCTAAGCTGTGCTCCTGGAACTTTAAGCTACAACAATACATTTATTGCTCTTAAGTTCATTTTTATGGCCAGAATCTCAAAGACCTTCTAGACTCAAGAAGAGCTAAATACTGAAGCAATGCCTGACACTTGGTTGAAAGTGCAGGACTCGACTCCTCAAATCCTTAAGTGATCAAGACTGGATTAGTCAGTCTTTCAATGTGTTACATATCTAGGTTGTACTTTTAAGAGTCAGAAACTGTATGTTTTCTGATCTGAACCTTCTAAAATTATAAGACATTCACAGCCTCAAGAGCTGCTAGATATTGTGATGGGAATTTCCTTCCTGACAAATGAGAAAATAATGCTTATCATGTGCAATAGAGGGGAAATGGAAGAGAAGCAATGCAACAAAATTTAAAAACTAGTGCCAATAAAGCGATCCTAAATGGTACCTCCAAATTTAAAAATAAATTCCTTGGGAAAATGGTTTCCCAAGGAAATTTTGGAAAAATTAAAAGTTTTCCTTGAGTTTATGAATGAGCACAGATTTAAAACTGTAAAATTGTACAGAGGCTTTCAACCCTCCTCATTAATTGTATCAACCAAACATCCATGGATACATCACTATTTAGTGCCTACTTCGGTAGATGCTAAACATCTTTGATTCACACCGCAAAAAACTCTAATGAGGTCGGAGCAGGCCCCTGTGACTCATACCCTGAATAGTGCTACCAACCTATTTTTCCACAGGCACCCGCTCTGTTCATTAGCTATGCACTAAAATAGAAGATGACAAAGCCTGAATCTGTGCTTATTTCCACAGTTGTTATTAAGTAAATACCATTTTGGTGAATAAAATTAAACTAAACCCACATACATGAAATGACTTATTTCCCTTCCTTGAAATCTTATTAACATAACACTACCAGAAAATTAATCAACACCATACAATTGTTAAATGATTAATAAAAACAGTGATTATAATAATTCCAAATTGAGAGTACTTCTCATTCAAAGTAGGACTATGAGTTCTGTTTGGATTTTTCTGCCAGTATGAAAAAAAAATGTTTATAAATGCAGAAACTGTTTGTAAATGCATCGCCTTCTATGCCACTATAGAGGTTAGATAATATTCCACAAATGGGTGATTTCTACCAATGGGTTTTAGCAATTTTTTCTTCTTTTCCCTAAATTAAACTTAATATACAAATAAATGGTGCCAAGGCTGAAAGAAAAAAAAAATTAGGAAATAAAACAACCTTTTGAATGGCAAGCTTAACATGAGAAAAAAAGGAAAGGTAGATAATTACAATTTATATCGACACAATAAACTGCCAGTTTTTCAGCTGACTAAATGCTAGTCTAGCTCATTATGTAGCCATGTTACAGAAAAAAAAAGCCTATTTTTTCCTTAGAACTTCGGTTTCTGTAATGTAAAACCACCGGGAGGTTTGAATATTATTACCTAGCAGTATTTTAAAACATTACAAAGAAATACTTTACATCTTTTCTTAGGCCATTTCTAGCACCTACACTAATAATCTCCAATCAAAACAAGGCAACCATGTGCTCCTTATGGTGGAGTAGGTCATATACCATAACCATGAGTATGTATATACATATTTACCATGTGAATGTATATGTGTGTGTGAGTGTGTGTGTGTGTATCTGCATGCATGTATGCATACACATTTTCATCCCTGAAGCAGAGTTTCAGCAGTTAACCCCTTCCTTGCCCTTTCATTAGTATGATGTCAGTAGAATTCTGGGACATTCTGAAGAGTTAGGTTGTATACCGAATGATTCAGGGCCCCTCAAAGCCCTTTGGAAAGAGGTGAGGAATCGTATGGATTCTTGTGCTTACAGTTGCACCTAAACAAACAACAAACAACAGCAACAACACTCTAGACCCACTATGAGGCACACAAGATGATCTAGTTTGGACATTTGATCCTTCAATAATTGAGACCCTCTATTCCCCTGGAATAACTGTGAAACAAATTGCAAGCTCACTCAGAATAAAGGAACAATAATAATAATGTAACTGGCTGTTGTGATCCCCAAAGTTGAGACTAATGGGTATAAGTGTCCCCAATAAAGAGTGGTGCTGCACTTGTCATCTAGCAAAGCTGGCTCTGCCCCCATTTGCCATTCCCCAGACAACATAGAAAAAGATAATCAAAGTGTAAAGGTGACTTGTTGACAGAGAGCTATGGGCCCAGAAATAAGGCATTCTGTTCCATCCCCCTCCCTCCTAACGGAAGGGGCAGCAGATCCTACAGAGGAAGGGAGAGAAATGCTGCCCCAGCCACCTCCATCCCAGTGAGCAGGGCCCTCTGCACTCAAGTGGTGGAAGCTCTAGGGCTTCCCAATCACAAGCTTATCCACTGTAGTGCCCTTTCTTTTTCGCCACCTATCTATCCTCTTCCTTCAACTGTATGTCCTTACTACATTTGGAAATGTCAGCAATCATGAAGAAGAGAAAAACCAACTGGGCTCTCTTCCCTTTCAAATGTAACCCCTATGTGAGTGTAGCCCAGCTGACTATCTAGATGAAGACAAACAGCTGAGAAAGAGGAGATCAGAAGCCAAAGTCTGACCCCATGCTGCCCGTCACCAAAAGCACATGAGGAGAGGCCTCAGGCCCCCATAATTGAGAAAGAGCTCATTTTCTGTGCAGCATCTGCTGAGAAAAACTCCATGAAAGGTCAGTGGCACCAAGCCAAATGTGGAAGAAGTTAAATGCCACCCTGCTGCCATTATCTTCAAGGTACCAGAACAACGAAACAATCCCAGAGAGAGAAGAAAACACTATGAAAAACTTTGAAGAGCTCATTTTTTAAAATAATATAAAGGTGTGTTAGACCGGAAATACCAGAAACTAAATGTCATGCATGTATTTGACAAATATATACTGAAGGTTTTTTACTATGAGCCATGTGCTATTCTAGCTGCAGCTAATACAGCAGTGAATGAGACAGACAATATCTCTACTCAGGGGGCTTGCATTTAGTGGCAACAGACAAAAACAAATATGAAATTTCACATAGCGACATATGCCATGAAGACAGCATACCTTGACAAACTGATCAAGAGAGACTTAGACAAAGAGAAGGGTCTATTTTAGATAAGATTGTTAAGGAAGGCCTCTCTGAAAGCAAGTCATTAATTAAAAGATCTGCTGAAAAAGTATTCCAGACAGAGGAAACAGTAATTGCAGTCTGACATAACAGCCTATCTGCCTTCCTGTAAAGTTTCAGTGAGCACCTACTTGTTACAAAAGTGTGTAAGACAAAGCCCCAGCCTTTGAAGTTCTCATGGTCTAGCAGAAAACACAGACACAGTAACATGATAAATGCACACCCAAACTCTCACAGGAACATAAATGGAAACAGCCCATGAAAGTGACCTCAGAGCATGAATTTGATTGAAGGGCTGTGCTTTGCTGTAAGACCTGGCAAAAACAAAATCTTGAGCACAGGAAATATAATGAGCCAACGAATAATGACATGTAAGTGCATGACATGTCTATGGCCTACATTTGTACCCTGTTGAAATTCCTCTTGTAACACATATGCACTTAATTGTGTTAATTGGTTTCATGATTCCCCCAATTGTTAGGATGCACACTCTTTGACAACAGGAGACTTACTCATTTTGAATCATGAGCATCTAGCATCAATACCTGGCACAGAGATTTAGTTAATAATGTTTGTTGAATGTATGAGATGAGGAGGAAAAAGAAAGGTTAATGTCAGTTTGTGAAAGTCAGAATGTGCCCTGCTGAAGAGATAGATTTCTTTCTGGAGCTATGGGGGCCATGGAAGGCTTTACAATTCATAACAAATCTTCAGGATGACAAAAGTGAACTTAACCTACTAGTGAACCCGGAAGCTTCTTTTGCAAAACCTATATTGGTAGTACTGACAGCTGCTACTGATGTTATTTAAATGAAGATATGGCTTTTTGTTTCCTTCACTGAAGAGACATATATTAATTACAGTGCTTTTTAAGATATGAGACATAGTTGTAAAAGCTTGATAATCACTTCTACTAAAGGTTTCCTGCTGTGATTGTCAAATATAAGTCTTCACCCATTCTCTGTGACCCACCCCTCTGTTGTTACCTTGCTCGACATCGGATCAGTCAATTCATATGTATTTATTGTCTTCCTCCTCTGTGCACAGCAAGGAGCATGGAGTGAGAAAACACATACTGCACACATTAGAAGCATAAAGCAGCCTTAATGGCCTTTGGAAAGGGCAAGAAAGTCTATGTCATCTTTGTCTTTACTGCACCTATTATCTAGACTAACTCTTTCATCTTACCTTTAAGATCTAGTCCAACCCAGGTAACTAGATTGGCTCTTGGAAGAGCTCAGATGATAATGTGAATTTCCTGACTCCAGGTCATCAGGAAGCAAATCTTGTCTTTCTTGGGTACTTCCAGGATGCCTAATACAAGTGCTCAGCACTTCCAAAGCTCAATGCATTTGCTCAGTTTGATTAATCCATCTTGTACCCCACCATTATAAGTACTTTTCCTTCTGTCTCTGGACTTTGGTGTACCCCTACAATCTCTTCTTCCTTTCCAGACCTCAGCCAGATGTTAGGCATGATGCTTATGGAAGCTCCAAAGCCACAGAAAGCTACCCCTCTTCTGTGTAGCTCCACTCACCAGCAGGAACTCTGGCATTGCAACAGATGAAATGTTTTGCCAACCAGAAAAAGAGATCTTTGCACACACACAGGGCACTCAGATTAGATAAGTGTTCTGAACTTCAACAGCAATGAGGCAGAGGCAGTGGAAGCTGGGCTGAAAAAAAAGAACCATTCCTTCAGCAGATCCATCCAACTTACAGAAAGGAGCCAGGGAGCTCCATCTGTCAGGTTTAGTGAGAGTCCTAATCTCACTCATATGCTGACAAGTTCAAAATACTCAACTTTGTTGAGATTGAAAACTCTTAGTTATTTAGGCTGAACAGGTTGCCTGGCCTGGAGGAAAAAAAATTGGAAGTTGATTAACGACCATCTTTACTAATATGATGGGTTATCATGAAGAAGACAATGAAAGGTGACTTTCCACTCAGAGATGCTGAACCAAAGACCCAAACCAGCACAGAAAGCATGAGACTTCAACAAATAGGAAGAACATCTCTTCCTTTATGCTGCTATTATTGTTACTTCATAATGATCTAATAACACTTCTTTTTTTAAATATTAGTTTGGAAACTAGAAAGCTAAGACACATAAAGGAGATGTGACTGTACATAGGGAAACCAGAAACCCATCAAGAGAAAGAAACAATTGCTCTCCAAAGGAATGGGACCCATGGGAAAGGATTGCATATTCTGTGTAAACAAAGAACTCCTCCAATAGTCCTGCACATTTCCATTTTCTATGCACAGAGTCATTCCTTAAGCAGCATGCATTTATCTCTCCAAGACAGAAAACCATAATTTAATTAAAGTTAAAATGAAGAACTTAAAGATTTGCTACCTTATTAGATCCCTTTGAAAGAGCTAAATGTTCCCCTGCTCAGATCTCCTCTCTTCCTGTGCTTCAAGATAAGTACTGGGAGATTTATGTGCCATGAATTTCCAATTACCCATCTCCACCAGCTGGGCTGTCAATCACCACTTGTCTTATCCTGGATGTCCTCACCACCCGCATTTCCTTGTTGTGCTCACAGAAACAAGCTTATTCTTCCAAAAAGAGCTTACCACCAGACAGGCCAATGCTGGTTTATTATGTCCAGCTAATGCTGGACAGAATTTCTCTTTCAAATTACTGCCATCCCACTTTCCCAAAATATTCAAATAAAACAAGAGTTGCCACAGATTGTGGACAATTTAAGATTTCAAAAGAGAATTTACAGGCAAACTTATCCATTCTGCATCCTCACAGAGTCCACTGAAGCAGAATTGATGAGCTCTCAGGAGCAATCCCCCACTCCTTTGACATCTGGAAGCAGGTGGGAGAATTCTAAATGATAACTACGCTCACTTGGAAACCGTGCAACACAGAAACAATATGTTTGCAAATGCAGGCTTAGAAAATTGTCATAGATTTGGAGGGGAAAATTAATGGTGGAAGCTCTTTACTGCTCTTGGTCATGAGTTTTGTCTGGAGAATGGATTAAGGCATCAAAATATTCTTAAAAGGAGTCTGAAAGATCATAATATCCGTGTTACCAATAAATACCTGAAAAATAAATGACAGTTGTCATTTGATGGTCAGAATAATAATGAGTCTTTATTGTATGGATTTCTTTCTTGTGACTGTTACAAAGTATGTAACCATTTAGTTGACAAATGTTTACTTACTAGGTACAAGGCTCAGTGTTAGATACTAGGGGTGATATAAAACTAACTAATACAAGGCCTTCCCCATAAGGAGCTTGTAAAATATTTGCATAAACAATTTTAATAAAAGAAAAATTGGCACCAAAAAGTCAATGAAACACTATGAAAATTCAGAGGAAACAAGATCTTGAAGCTGACTGGAGGAGAACAGGAATTTAAGGAGGGCTTCATGAAAGAGAAGGACTACCAATGATGAACTAAACCTGACAGTCAACTACAATATTCCAGGGCTGTGAACCATCTAATTCTTCAGTTGTTCCTTCTCCTTCTCTTACATATTGCTTTGCTTGTTACTAGAGTGTAAGGTAGAAGCAAGATAACTAAAAGTCAAGCTCTAATTTTGCTGCTTATTTGAAAGGTAATTGGATGCATACAGAGGCTTTAATTAATAAAATGAAATCTAGAGATCACTTAATACTCACTGTTCTGGATCACTATGTTGTTTAAATGGCACAGAAGGTACATTCAAGTCCAGGAAGAAAGTCAGTACTCTTGTCTAGGTTCTGAGCCTGGGGAATGCTAGAGCAAAGGGACTGCCATGATTTAAGGCAGCATGCGCAATGGCTATCACTTCAGGCACCATCCGCAAACAGGGAGGTCATGGATGAGATAGAAAAGGCAGGCTAACCACTGAGATCAGCTCCATTTCGCGCTGAGCCTTTTCACAGTGCTTTGAGACATCTATTAAATATTTCATCCATTTATTCCACTGATTGTCAAAAACCCATGAAACAGACAGGCCATAACAAGTTGAACTTGACATGCACGTGGCCACCAGCAGCTTCCTGAACTTGCTTCCTACTCCTAGGTCAGCAGATGGATGACCAGCAGTGGCCCCATACCTATGGTTGATTCTCACACTGGCAGCTACCATGGCAGCCAACGTTTCTGGAGCCCTCCCTTTATACCTAGTATAATGAAGTGTTTCCTCTTTGTGTACATTGTCTCATTTAGCCCTTAAACAATCCTTAAATGCATGTATTATTCCACCACTTCCCAGAGATGGAAGCTGAGTCATGATACTGTTATGTTACTTGCTTAAGGCCACACATTTGATCAGGATTTGACTTCAGTATTTTCCAACTCCAAAGCCTGTGGTCTTAACCACACACTCTTAGCTACAACTGTGTACTGCTTCCCAAAGACCGTGTAGGAATTAGAAGTGGAATTCTGAGATTTTTAACCCTCGGGGGAAGCATAAAGACTGTGGGTCCAGAGTTGGACCAGAATATCTCAACCATAACTGTATACCTTGAGTTTGCCCAGAGTAAACACCATTGAGCCAGGGGAAACCTGTAAGGTGGCCTCCTCCCTCTAGTCTTAGCTTCTATCTCCACAATTACCAGAACAGCTGCCAGACCAGCCATCCAAGTGACCAAAACCTGGTGGCGGCTGCATGTGCCCTGGTCAGACACTGGTTCTCCAAGGTTATACATTGAAATCTGATGTCTGGGTCCCATCCTGGAAGTTCTATAGTTTAGGGTGAGTCCTGGGCTTTTAAAAAGCATCTAAGGTGATTCTATTGTGCATCCAAGAATGAACATTGTTGTGTAAAAGAAAAAGTCAAGGGTTTGAGGCCCCTTCTTTCCATAGTCAGCAAAGCAGCTGGCTTCATCCCAGGCTTTTGCTGAAAAACATTAATAAATGCCTGCCGACGATGAATCATTCCCTTAAGAAGAGAACAATTTCCCAACTGTAACTTAAAGTCTTGGGAGAAAAGAGAGGAAAAGCCACGGAGAAAAAAATTTCTAGAAGACTAAAATGTATTTCTAACAAAATTTAAATACAAGATAACTGATCATTGTGGGAGGCTGATTTTTTATCCCACTGAAGATAATGCATTTTTGACCCTGCATCCATAATTCAGTGAAAGAATTGTATTCAGACACGGCACAGCTCGGGATAGCAAATATGCAATTTGCAAGTCACTACTTCCTTTTCCTCAACTCCCTGTCCAAAGTCCATGGTGACTCCCAATAATCCAACACGGCCTCCTGGCCAAGTCACTTTAAATGCAGTCTTAGAAACCTCTTCCATAAGTGCTCTTGGCAGGCTCTGTGAACCAAGTCTATGGCTGAATTGAACGACATTTTTCATCCCTGCATGAACCTACATGCATTCCAGGGTAAAGAATTATCTTATTCTGTCTTGTACCCAATAGTTCCACCTAGAAGAGTTTATGGCAAGTAGTAAATGCTCAGTAGATGTGAGCTGAATGAGTAAATGAGATGATGACAGGAGAAATGCATTTTACAGAAAACCTCCAGCTTTCTGATGTCCTTTTCTTAGCAGTCAAATTAAGATTTCAGGTTTGCTCATGATAGGGTGATCAGAAAGACCTTTAAAGGAAAAACCATTCCAATGGCCAGTGAATAAAGTAAGCAAACTGCACTAGGATACATCAGTAGGGATTGACAGAGATTACACAAGCACTACTAAATCTTTCAATGATGTCTTTAAAAACACAAGACTTGAAAGAGAAACAGAGAGGAATGCATGCCTGGAATTAACATTCTGACAAATACCTGGCTCCAGGTTCTACATTTCATTTTATTTATTCATTTTCCACCTTTCCAAAGAAAAAGAGGGATGGAGTGAAGGATCTCCATGGTTTACAAAAGGCTCATATAATCCAGCATGATGATATTCAATAGAACAAAATAAGAAAAAAAAAAAGGCAAAATCAGGTTCTGTCTTTTTCTTTGTGTTAGCAATAGACAACAACATAGAATGAACTCTTGATGGCTGTCCTCTTTTCTGCATGACACCTATACTTGTCTCTCAAGGCTCACAAATCACTTCCCAATGGATACCTTCTCTAGCTTGTCCTACATAGGTCCACACTTATCTCCACTATAGTATGACTTGGCAATGGCTCATCTCTGTAGCTTAGGCTCCTTAGCAGTACAACAAAAGTCAGCACCTAGCAGTGTTTGTTGGACAAGTGGTATGGACTGAATGTGTGTGTCCCTTCCACCCCCAAATTCATATGCCGAAGCCCTAATCCTCAGCGTGGCTATATTTGGAGATGAGGTCTTTATGGAAGTAATTAAGGTTAAATGGGGTTATAAGGGTGGGGCCTTGATTGAATAGGATTAGTGTCCTTTTAAGAAACACACCAGAGAATTATTTCTTTCTTTCTGCATGCATGCACCAAGGAAAAGCCATTTGAGGGCAAAGCAAGAAGGCAATTGTCTACAGGCCAGGAAGAGAGCCCTCATCAGAAACCAAATAGGCCCAAACCTTGATTTGGGATTTTCCCAGCCTCCAGAACTGTGAGAAAATATATCCATTGTTTAGTTCACCCAGTCTGTGATATTTTGTTATGGCAGCCCAAGATGACTAAGATGGCAGGAAACTGACAGATTTAATAATGTGGAAAAGCTGCCCCATTGGAAATCTGAATCTCTATCCAATTGTGTACTTGCACGCAAGTGGCTTTAGCCCAATACTGCCTTTCCTCTTCTCAAATCTGGGTAACATAAAACTTCCTTTCTCTACTCCTAGTGGCAGTGTAAGGGTCTGAGTACCTTTGAGTAATAAAAGATCCTTATGAAAGCAAAGCTGTGATGTATTATTACTATCAACATACCTGCAGTCCTTTTCTATGTGCTCTGACCATGGGTCTCCTGTAGCTATGAGGGCTAGAAGACCTCCTGATCCTTTTCTTGAGACCCATCTCTACCCATGTGACCATCATTGTCTAATTGCTCAATTAGGAAAACTGATCACTAATATATTAAATAAAAGAATATGCACTGTATATTGAAATTGGAAGGAATATATTTTATTTATATATATATATATATATATATATATATATATATATATAATCTGAGGTTCTGCTTCAAATTGAAAACTGGTTATATATCAGGGTCACGTGATCATGAGTATGATTATAATTTTCTTCTTTATATCGACATACACTCTAAATGTTCAGCAAATAATTGAATTACTTTTATACTAAGGAAAAGAAAAATTTAACTGTTGAAAAAGAAGAAAAGACTGATGATCTGCCTGGTAATCTCACAAGTGAAAGCCCCTACCCCCAGCAGAAGGTAAGAGAGTAGCACTTGGAGTAAAAAGAAAGCTCATCCCCCCTCCATGGCCTCCCCTTCATTTCTGCCTTCTAGCTCCCACCCTCTTATAGGAAACCAAAAAGGCTCAGGGAGGTTACGTGCTAAGGTTCCCACATTGTTGTTGTCCTCTATCACTTCAGGTCATTGAGAGCCAGCCTTCCTTCCTTTCCTTCCTTCCTTCCTTCTTTCCTTCCTTCCTTCCTTCCTTCCTTCCTTCCTTCCTTCCTTCCTTCCTTCCTTCCTTCCTTCCTTTGCAGAGTCTCGCCATGTTGTCCAGGCTGTGGCTATTCACAAGTGCAATCATTGTCCACTACACCCTCCAACTCCTAGGCTCAAGCAATCCTTCTGACTTGACCTCCTGAATAGCAGTGACTACAAGCGAGAACCAGCAAATCCAACTGAGAGCTTATTTTATTCAGAAGTGTTTGGGATGTCCCATCCTCATCACTCTACCCTTCTTAAAATACCTGTGATATCAGAGTCCAGTGGGAAATGCAGCATTTGCACAATGCATGCTTCTAGCCCACTGCCAGACACACAGATGATTCTCAATAAATGTCAATCCTCTCTCTGCCTACTGAACCTTACACCTAAATGCCTCTTTTAAATAGAAGTGTCATTCCAGGTGGGGAGAATTTGCTATATGCAGTATAACCTCAAATTTTTATACACTATCACAAAAATATGCAGGGACATAAACCGGATTTGCTTAATAAACACTGTAGCATCCTCATTCTGTGTTTTAAAACTACACATGCTAATTTTCTGGAAGACAGAAGGCAAGTGTCACACAAATTAAGT
Source organism: Homo sapiens (assembly GCF_000001405.40). Classification (NCBI taxonomy): domain Eukaryota; kingdom Metazoa; phylum Chordata; class Mammalia; order Primates; family Hominidae; genus Homo; species Homo sapiens. Next base: position 60,154 of record NW_013171808.1, on the reverse strand, counting down.
TTCCTCACAAACAAAAGCAGCTGTCTCACCTCACTTCCCATCCCCATGGTCATGTTCAACAACTCTAGCTTTGAAACTACTCTGGAGGTACATTAAAATTTGAGGAAAAATACAGTTCTGGACATCTGGATTCATTAAAAAATAACTTAATGCCTTCTTTCACTAAGGCTAATAATGATAAGCCCATACTTAATGTAGTCACATACTTATGCTAAAGATATACACTTAGCATATTTTAAAAATTATTATTCTGTTTATCATTAATCTAAGACTAGGATTAACCAAAATGCTGTGCCTTGATTACAGGCAACCAATATCCATTAATAAATACACTTGTTTGGATTTCACATCCGTGGTTCAATTTTGCCATTTTTTTAGATAAAAGAGGTTGAAGGACAGGCCAAACTTTCATATGCTAGCATCCACATATACTGTTACTTACACAAATAAATATTTTGTTTGGGGGACTAAACTGCAAGCACTAAAAAAACCATGATATTGCTAAAAGTGATATTTTTTCCTTGAAAAAAATAATTGAATATTTTTAACTGTGTTCTCTCTTCTAGGCTGAATCCCAAAGTACAAGGAGTTGGCCAGAGGAACATGGAAGGCAAGTTTTAACAGGACAGGAAGCAGAACACACAAAGATCCAGGGCAATAAAGAAAATCATGTGTTGGAGAATTTGCATGCTTTTCTGAATGGCTGGAGCACCAATGGTGAGAAAAGTTTTGCAAATCTCCAAAATCCAGTCTAGCTCTGAAATCTTCTGATTTTGGTGATCAGAGTAGATTGGAATTTTATCTGTGGCTCAGGCCTAGGAAAGCAGAAATAACTTTTGGCCACTAGAATACAATGTGTATTTAGACCAACTCTCTTCGTCCAGAGGAAGGAGGCACACACTATATATCTGTAAGGCAAAGACAGAGACTCTGGGCTCCTCTTTCCAACTGAGTTTCTAACTAGCTAGTGTTCCTCCCCTCTACATCCTGAAGCACAGAGCTGGGCTCCAAAGCTGAGGGTTATGAATTAGATACCATCCCAAACATTAAAAATGTGATCTATAACATTCTTACCCTGTCTTCTCTCTACACTCCTTGCTGGGCTTGATTTCATGAGTACAAGTGTCAAGCTCCCACCGAAGGAAGAAGGAGAGAAAGATCCCTTTCATTAACATGTTTAAAGCATCAACCCCTCCAACAGGATAGAGTGCTTGAGATACCTCAGGTCAGCACCTTGACTCTGCCGCCTACACATCTTTGTACTGGACAAGTTACATAAGCTCTTTCAACCTCAGAGTCCTCAATTGAAAAATGGAGAAAATACCCACCTACTTCTGCGCGCGTGCATGTGTGTGTGTGTGTGTGTGTGTGTGTGTGTGTGTGTAGAATAAAAAGCATTTAGCAGAGTAAGAGCTTAATGAGTGTTAGATATTTTTGCTATGGTTGACACCTTAAGAGGACAGCTAAGGGGCTTCTAGCTTCTCATATGTATTTGCAAACTCAAGCCTTTCAAATTAGTATTTAAAATATCACCAGTCTAATTATGTGGAAATTCTCCAATTAGTTAGAGAAGTAACTTGGTGCTACAAGTGGCTGGTGTGCAGCTAAAGAAAGCCACATAAACTCAATCTACTCCTTCTGCTAGTGTTCTCAGAATACCTCTTTTAAAATATATTTTTATTCATTTATTATTTTTTTTTTGAGATGGAGTCTCACTCTGTCGCCCAGGCTGGAGTGTAGTGGCATGATCTCGCCTCACTGAAACCTCTGCCTCCCAGGTTCAAGCGATTCTCCTGCCTCAATCTCCTGAGTAGCTTAGATTATAGGTGCCCACCACCAAGACCGGCTAATTTTTGTATTTTTGTGTGTGTGTGGAAATGGGGTTTCGCCATGTTGGAAAGGGTGGTCTCGATCTCCTAACCGCTGGTGATCCACCTGCCTCAGCCTCCCAAAGTTTTGGGATTACAGGCATGAGCCACTACGCCTGGCCTCTCTTATTAAATGTTAATGCCACAGAAAACAGAACCTTTTGGCCATGAAAAAGCAGATTGTGCTGGAAAGCATTCATTCATTTATTCAATATCCTGATGGCTTATTATGGGACAGGCACCATTAAGGAGCTAGTGATACAGGCTCAGACAAAAAGCTGACAATAATCTTTGCCCCCAAGGGGCTATATTCTAGAGGAGGGAGACTGAAAAGAAAGAAAATAACCGTAATATATAAAGTCAAATGATGCAAAGGACTATAGAGAGAAAGAAGGCAGGAAAGAGGGATAGGCAGGCAATAGGGTATTCAGATAAGGCCCCATTGAGAAAGGGACATTTGAATAAAGACAAGAAGGTAAGGGAGTGAGCCATGCAGATGATGGGGAAGAGCACAGCAGGCTGAAGATACGGCCAAAGCAAAGGCCATCAGGTGGGAGCAGGCCTTGTATACTCAAGGAACAAGAGGGGACAGTGTGTCAAAACTCAGTGAGTAGAGAATGGTAAAAAATAAAGTCAGAAAAACAAAGGGTCAGATTCTGTAGAGTCTTTGCAAAGTTTACTCTCAGTTAGACAGGAAACCCTTAGTGTTTTGAGCAGAGAAGGGATAGGATCTGACCAATATTCAACATTACTGAGCTGATGTGTTGCAAACAGATGACAGCAAAGAAGGGCAGAAGCAAAGAGACCAGTAAAGAGGCTACTGCAATAATCCTACAGACAGATAATGGGCCCCAAAGCTGAGGGTTAGGGATTAGATACCATCCCAAACATTAAAGATGTGATCTATAACATTTTTACCCTGTCTTCTTGACTTGGACCAAGGTAGTAACAATGAAAAGTGGTCAGATTCTGGAAATATTCTGAAGATACGGCCAACAGGATTTGCTGACAAATTGAATAAAAGATTACACATATATATGTAAAATGTGCACATATATATGTGTGTGTGTGTGTGTGTGTGTGTGTGTGTGTGTGTATCTATCATGGAGACTCCAAGCTGGGAGGTTGGAGCTACCATTTATTGAGATGAGACAAGTAAGATGGCAGAAGTAGCAAATGTGTGGGGTAAAGAACTGGACATCCATCTTGGACATGTGACATTTTAGATGCCCTTTAAAGATCCTATTCAGGATGCTGAGAAAAATCACTGAATATATTAGGCTCTGGAGCATAAGTGTACTAAAATATAGGTTAGAGAGAAGGAAAACTGTTCACCTTAATGTGGACATGAATTGGAATCATCCGACCCAAGAGATTAACCCTTCAAAAACTAAATTTCTAAACTGCCAGCCAACATGTGTGACTAAAACCACCAAACAGATAACTTACAGAACACCTGCTCATAGATGAGCCAAAAAAGGGATATTTATGATTCTTTTCACAGCCCTGCAAGTCTGTGCATTAAGGCCTAACCTAGTCCTCTGACCCCCAGCCAATGGTGAGTCCCGCAAGCAGGGCCTGAAGCTCAGGGGAGATTATTGTTTAGGCTCCAGCAGTTCTGAGGTGGTGTTGTCAGCACATTCACAAGGAATAGAAGGGAAGGCAATGAAATGGGAAACCTTTCTTTTTTCCGGATCAGGTTTAACTGTCCATCACCAAAGAACCAACCAAGTGTGGTCCAGCCAGCCTAGAATACTAAAAAATGCAAATGTTTCATTTATGATACTCCTTTTTAGCAATGTTTTTTGAATACTCACTGACACATGACAGAATTTTAGATACCATAGGTTTATTTTAGTTTAAACAAAATCCTTGTCTTCATACAACTCTAAATTTAGGAGTAGGGGAGGGAAGGCAAGCAAGATAGGCAAACACATGTCAGTTTATAATACAGATAAACAGATTGATAAGAATTAGCAGTTAAAATGCAGAAGGCATACATTCATCCATTTATTTACACACTGCCGTATTCCAGGAGAGGATTTAAGATGAGGAAAGGCATAAATAAGCCAGCATATAGAGTTAAACGACAGGAGATGCAACAAGGGGACTCAGGTACTGACTGGTTTAAGGCTCAAGAGATATCCCTTGAGCCAGTTTCCTCATCTCTAAAACAGAGGATAGACCCAGATGACCTGCTATGGTTGACTACTGGTGCAATGCTGTAGAGCAGATCTTTAGAATTTACTCATCTTGCTCAACTAAAACTTTATGTCCTTTGATTAGTAACTCTCAAACTCTCCCTGCCCTTGAGACCCTGCCAACCATCATGTCACTGATTGTATAAATTTGGCTACTTTAGATTTGTTTTTTTGTGACTTCCTTATTTTACTTTGCATAATGTCCTCCAGGTTCATCCATGTTGTCATATATTGCAGAATCTCCTTTGTTTTACAGGCTGAATAGTATTCTACTGTACGTACATATCATGTTTTTTTATCCAATCATTTATTGATGAACACGCCTTAACCTTTTTCAACTGCACAATTTATCTTATTTCCCAAAGGTACTTCTCAGCCCAGCAACAACTTCCATTTTACAAAGACGTGCCTCCATACACACACCTATATCATAGACAACTCATTTGCTCTGCAGTTTTTCTGTGCCTGCAAAACGGCTCCAAACTTAGGCCACTTTAACAAATGTGGCTTCCCTGAGTTCTATGACCATTCCAATGTGATCATTTCACAGCAGCACAGTTCTAGAAGAGCTGCTACCTGGGAACCTCTGGCACTTCCAAGCAGACTGGCTCTCTCATGGAACTAGCCATCATTTGGAGAGCTGAACTTGGCTTCTTCGGTAAATGTTACAGCTGCTATTTGAAGAGCAAAAGAAAGAAACCACAGGGATAACTTAAGAGGGGAGCACAAGTATTTGGAATGGTGAGGGGAGATCCTGACCAATTAGGAGAAACATGAAATAGATTTGAAAGGCTTGGGATTTTCTAATTATTGCTGCCTACAACTCTACTTCTTGACAGTAGCATTTCTGACCCAAACAGCAAGATGGGAAACCCAGCTCTAAAGTAACTAAACATGGCTGTAGTACAAAATATTATACTGTACATTAGGTAGAAACAGAGCAGTTATAAAGGACCCATAGTGCTTCTGAACAAGTTTTTCAGCTGCACTGCACATTTACTGCCTTAGATATCACAGCAGGTTTTCACTCCAAACCACCTAAGTATGTAGATTTTTAAACACCACTTAAACGATCTTCTGCCAAAAGAATTAAATTACCATTTATAGCCTATTCCTCTATTAAAAATTAATGAATTTACTAGCTCGTAGGATGGAGGCCTTCATTTGTTTTATAAAAAAAAGCTTTGATCTGCAATTCTCCAAGGCTGTGATTGTTTTTATTCTTCAGTTCTTCTCATTAAAAATAAATACCTCCGTTCTCTAAGATACACCTGCAAAGCACTTAAAATACCCATTTGAAGAACAGGAAACCTATTTTAGTTTCCCTGCTAAAGAATCTACTGTTTAAAGTGCTTCTGCAATGGGAAAAGCTCTTTTCTTCAGTACCCAGGCACCATTCTGGGTGGTGAAGGACCAAAATCCAAGGTTTGCACCTAATCACTATTTACAGAGCAAGCTCAAAGGGCAGCTTCTTAAAGCTGAAGATCTAAGCTGTAATCAGAATTCCACACATACTGTCTTTTGTTCAAGAGGGAGTAATGAGTCAACTTGAAGTCAGTTTGATGCATTGAATACTTCAGGCTACACACCTAATGCAGTCTAAACTACCAGGAGTCGCTTTTCTCTAACAGATGCCACAAGCGTTAATAGCAAAAGGCAAATGAGCTCTTAGTGTATAACCAAAAGATGGCTGGCAACAGCTATAGTTTTCTTCTATGCTATCCTATGGTAAAATGCTCTTAACTGTGGCTTAAATGTGTTATGTATTATTAAAACAAGAGAAATGTGAAGCTTTTCTAAGTGAACTAGTTATCAGAGACTACTGCTAACTCAAGCATGGTCCTTCAGGAAAACAACTACACCAAAAGCACATACTATATTTGAATAACACCATCCAGTCCACTCAGTTACCATGTGCAGATTACATAGAGAACTGAATGAACAAACGGGATAAGTTGGAGTCATTCCCTCCGTGCATATAAGAAGGTTCTCAAAGCTATTTCCAGGACTTCGGCATTCACATCCCATTACGCACTGCTCGATTATCCAGGCTTCTGCAACATGAAATTTGGAATAATCAAAAACCCTGGACTGATCCTATCACTGGCAGTGATTGCCTAGAGGTCGATAGAAAAGACTTGAACCCTGAATTTTTCCAATCCACAGACACTGCATACTGAACCTCTGCAATAAATCAACTGCCAGAATGACAAAGCATCACTGGCAATGTGTATCCCCACTGCCAAAACTGGGGAGAGTTTCGCATTAGGAACTGTCTTCTGATCTAAAGCTTCAGGTCAACAGAAAAGGGAAGGCAGTCAGTCTCCAGGGAGAGAGAGGGAGTCACGCTGTTTTAAGCAGCAGTTTTTACCGACACTCTCATCTCGGGGAAAAGCACAAGCAGTGGCACTCAAGATTGTTGCCAAGCTGTGTGCCCACTGCCTGCCATCCTTCTGGCCACACCCCACGTCCTGGAGGAGAAGTAGGAAACAAGGTGGAACATTCTAGAAAACAAAATATACAATCCTCCAAATAAGCCACATTGCCATTTCTACCCTCTGCTACCTTAATTCAACACATATAGACAGATACATAAGGACTACAGATACTTCTTCTTAATTTTGGCACCAAATTTAAAATATACAAATGCCTCTTCTTATGAGACAAAACAGGACATGCGCAAGGGAACCAGACAGATGATTCTTCTGCCAAGATAACTGTTTTTTCCTAAGCATAAAGGGAATACATTAGAAGTTGGTTAAGATTATTTCATAGAAACAGAGACCTAAGTGTCTTTCCCAAAATATCACACAGATGATCAATAGCCACTTGTGTTGCCCCTCAAATGAGCTACAATAGTGTTGTAAGAATGGGATACTCCCCTCAATAGAACATGTTCAGCACTTAACCATCTGAAATGTGCATTACTTCTCCCAGTATCCTCTTTCCCATTCCTACACATAAAAGCTTGCACAGCATATTCGCTTTTTTCCACAATAGAACGACTAACCATTTAGCAAAATAATAACAATATTAATAATAATACATCAATAAGTAATAGCTTGTCCTTACCAAAAATCAGATGTACATGCAATTGTATGTCTAACTAGAAAAACTGTTTTTAGAAGTTGTAATCTTAGCTGTGCACATGCAACACATAAGCAGAGTCTGCAGAGCACTCTTACACTCTGCACTCTCATTCCTCCCTATTAAAAATGGAAGACATCAGTCTTCTGTCTTCAGCATGCAGCCTCAACTTCTCTGAACACTCCCTAATTCATATTCTAGATATATTCACTGATTTAATGACATTCACTGCCCTCCTGTGTTTCCACTCACCTCTCATTCCCACTGAGGGAAGGAACCAGAAAAATAATACCTATAATGTCATTTTCCTAATAGAAAATTCTATCACCCATGAGCTATGAGCATCTAACTTCAATCTAGACGAAAACTCCTGTTTCTGATGTCCCTGAGGTAATAGTATCTTTGGCTATATTTCAGCAATGCAATTTCACCCAGAAGATATTTATAGAGGATCTTCCACATGCCAGCACTGTACTTGGCTCTGGGAAACAAAGAAGCATGCGACAGTCTGGCCATCCTGTAGAGAAGCTGACCTGCCAGCATTCCCCGGGCACTATGTGAGGTACTCTGTTGGAAGCATGTGCAAACAGCTAGGGTCAAGAGCGACAAAGTCTTCTTAGTACTCAACCTCTGCAAAGTTCATCTAAAAAATCCAACACAGGGTTTTCAAACGCAGTGTGCCCTAAGGTTGACAAATGAATTCAACATGCAAGAACCTGAGGGTGGGAGGGGCCCATTTCAAGAGCCCTGACTATCTTCCCACCCTAATCCTGCTGAGTCCTGTGCTCCAGGACTCTTATAACATAATATTCTCCTTCTGACCCCTTTATCTTTTCTTTAACCTTAAAATCTAATAGATGGAGTCCTAAGAGTTGGAACAAAAACTAGTGAGTAGTAATGGCATTAGGTATTCACTGCCTCCTTTGCAATACTCATATCAGATCCCAAGCCTTTTACTGACATAATTTACTTTTCTCCCATTGTGAACCCCACCCTCTACCCAAACGGAAACACTCCCTGTAGTTCTCGGAGGCGTTACCCTTTTACACTTTCCTACCTTTGACATGCTGCATCCATTGCCATAATGTTTTCCCTCCCTTTTCTATGTGTCCAACCATCAAGTCAGCTCAAATGTCTCCTCCTATACCACCTTCATCTGAATAAAGGTGCACTTTATTCTGCACCTAGCTTTCTTTTCTATTCACCCTACATTTATTGAGGCTTATCCTATGCTGTGCTTGGTTCTGAGGATGTAGAAATAAATGAATATAATTTGCTCCAAGCCCTCAGGAAACTTGCAGAAACACATAAATATAGAAATGCAATACAAAAAGATAAGAGATTTAATAAAGTTCCCAGAATTCTTTTGTGTCCCAAGACACAAAAGATACAATATCACCTCCTTGGGTGGGTCAGGAAGAGGGACTTATCACCCCTTCTAAAATTTAAGGTGTTTGAAGGGTAGGTCAATGTCTGGTGCGGCATCTCAAGGTGCACTAACACAATAAACTGTAAAATAAAATAATCAATGCATGCTTGAATGAATGACATATCAAATTCACCCTGTGGATCTCACTTTATGCACGGGCCACTTTAACAAATGCTTCCAGAAAACATGAAGACATGCTATTCCAGTCTCACTGAGAAGGGGTAAGACAAGTACATCACTTAGCTTTTAGTTGTTCCTGAATTGAAGGTGAAACTAGAAGCCATTCAAGTGAACAGGTCATCATTAACTGTAAAAGCTGCCAAAGAAACTGGATTCAACTCTTTGGGCATTCACTGAGCTGCTAGCTCAAAAGTCTCTGAAACCCAAACCATGAAAACTAATGAGCAGAGAATCTAGGAGGTGTTACAGAGCCAGTGTACCGATAGAACCAGGATTACCTAACTGTCACAGCACCCAGGATGTGTTGGAAAATGATTTAAAGCTTAATTCTTAAGGTGGTGGTTTGGTGTCAAAAACTTTGACTGATGAACTTTATAATGTTCCAACCTACACGTCAAGTAAAAAACCTGAATGCCTCTTCACTCATGGGCAAAACTTGTCACTGACTAATAAGTCTCAGATTTTATTTTGTTTTAGTGGAAATAAAATGGTTAGTAGTATGACCTTTTCTGGAAGGATAACACCAGGATTATGGAGGAAGATTTTTCCAAGGATTAAGACAATCGGGCTGGGCTGTAGACAGAGCACAGAACACCTACTAAGTGCTGGACACAGTCATAGGCTTTGGGGATACAGCCACAGGCAAAAGAGATAATCATCTCTACTATCTGTTTAAGGTTATAGATAAGTAAATAAGTGAACAATTTAGTATATCTGTTGGTGATGATTACTATAGAGCAAAATAAAATAAAAACAGGATCACAGATTTTCTTTGTTCAAGGGCAAAGAAAATTTTCAATTTTCAATTGCCTGGTCAGGGAAGGCCCAAGTGAAAAAAATGCATAAATCAGAATTGGTGATATAAGTAAACAATCGTTTACAGAGCATAAGCTATGTACCAAAATACTATTAGGCATTGTCAAGTACTAAAATCAAAACAAGATGTTTCGTACACTTAGGATCCTTAAAGCATTTAAAAACAATTTTAATTGACATAAATTACATATATGTGTGATTTACAACATCCTTTTTTTTTTTTTTTATTTTTTGAGATAGAGTTTCACTCTTTATGCAATGGTGTGATCTTGGCTCACTGCAACTTCTGCCTCCAGGTTCAAGTGATTCTCCTGCCTCAGCCTCCCGAGTAGCTGGGATTACAGGCATGCTCCACCACACCCAGCTGATTTTGTACTTTTTAGTAGAGATGAGTTTTCACCATGTTGGCCAGGCTGGTCTCGAACGCCTGACCTCAGGTGATCCATCCGCCTCGGCCTCCCAAAGTGCTGAGATTATAGGCATGAGACACTGCGCCTGGCCAACATCATGCTTTCATGTATGAATACACTGTGAAATTATTAAATCCTTAAAGTCTCATAAGGGAATAAGATGCAGAAAAAAATGGCTAATACAAGGCAGGTGACAATAAGTCCTGATAAAGTGATTTAAAATCTTCAGATCAGACTAGGGACATCAGGAAGGTCCTCAAGGAGCTTCAGGCATTTGAAACAGACCTTAAAGAAGGGACAATGTCTTTGGGAGGCTGAGGCAGGCAGATCACCTGAAGTCAGGAGTTTAAGGCCAGCCTGGCAAACATGGTGAAACCCCATCTCTACTAAACATACAAAAATTAGTCGGGCATGGTGGTGTGTGCCTGTAATCCTAGCTCCCCAGGAGACTGAGGCAGGAGAATCGCTGGAACCCAGGAGGTGGAGGCTGCAGTTAGCAAAGATCACACCACTGCACTCTAGTCTGGGCAAGAGAGAGAGACTGTGTCTCAAAAAAAAAAGAAGGGATAATGTTTGCACAAGTCAGATGGTGGGGATGGAGATTTGAAGAGTAGGATCCTTGAATATGAGAACTCTAGTTTAAGCTACTAGGAAAAGGAGTAATCCAAACATACAATCATTTCTCCCAGGTTCCACTGAAATCCAGGTCTAATGTTCTCATGCAGTGGACCAGTGAGCGATTAGGGTGGCTGACTAAATCCAGAGAAGCCTTTGTTTCTCATTTATTGATTCAATACCTTTGATTGAGCACTCACCATCTGGCAGTTACTATGCTAGGCTCTGAGGAAAAGTCACTTAAGACTCATGCCTGCCCTTAAGAATATCATAGTTTAGGACCAGGGAGAGATGAATGAGTCAGTGATTGGCATTCAGTGCCACAGGTGCACAACTGGAGTTAAGCACAGGCCCTGCGGAAATGCAGAAGAGAGGCATCCTGATCAGCAAGGGAGTGTGCGGAAGGCTTTCCAGGTAGCCAGATCCTTGAACTCATTTGCATGTGTGTAATTAAATTGTTCTTTTCTTGATTACAAAATACATCTATACTTGTAGAAACTTGCAAAATAAAATAAATTATAAATATAAAGATATAAAAATCACCTATAATCCTATCATCTAAAGAGCTTCTATTAATTTGAAGATATTTCCTTCCAGTGAGCTTTTGCAATCTCTCTTCCACTCCCCACTTAACATACAGAGAGTAATGTACAAATGGAAAGACATATACATGTGTTTGTGTTTCATACTCTTGTCATTTAATATTATAGGTTTTATCTTATCAAAAAATTTTTGACAATACAAAGCTAATAGCTATGTAATATTGCACAGTAGTTATTAAATCAATCCCTTACTGCATATTTAATTGCTTCAAATACAGTATTTTTTGCTATTATAAGTAGTAGCAATAAACATATTTGCAATAAATATATATTTCACTAAAACAGATTCTTAGAGGTGGAATTATTAAGTCAAAGAGAACCTAGATTTTAAGAAGTTGGCTTGAGTTTTGAAGAACAAATAAAAATAACATACTAGGAAATGGAAGAACAGGGTTGACACAAGAAATTGTATGTACGAAGGTCTCTCATGAAACAGCATGATAAGTTTCAGGAAATTCAAGTCATTTGGTAAGGCTAGATCAAATGGTATATGTGTGCTGGGTGAGGGAGTGGCCTAATAAAGACGAAGCTGGAGAAATGGGCAGACAATAAAGCATGAACAGCCTTGGGAGCTGAATTATAGAGATCTAACTGATCACAGAGTTAGTTATGAGGACCTCTGAAATATTTTAAGAGGTTCATGATCCTGTTTGTGATTTAGAAAGGTAATGCTTGCAGCAATGACAGATAGCTGCAGCTGGCAGAAAAGATATTTTTGAGGGCTACTGCAACGATCCAGGAGCAAAGAAAAAATTACCTTAAGCAGGACAGCAGTAATGCACAAAAAGGAATACATATGTGTTTTCAACATTTTCATTCCCATTAATTACTTACTGCTGTATTTCTTAAATGTCAATTTCCAGTTTCAAAGTACACCTTTTCAATTAATTCCAAAATCTTCTGAGCATTTTTTAAAAACTTTTTCCAAACCCCTACATCCAGGCCTCTCAAATCATTTTCTTTCCTATACCCAATGTTCATAGCTGCTATAAGAACAGGCTTTTGTCATATTAAATCTGTATGATAAAATGGAAAAGCTAGTCAGAGAGTCAAAGTACCTCAGCTCATGTCTTCGATCGTTCTTGAGCAAGTCACTAATGTTCCCTCTTCCTTGGAAGGACACTTTAGCACTAGTTCAACAATATAGTCTTTTTTGTTGTTGTTGTAATCTATGGATACCTATGATTTTATACTAGATTTGTAGGAAAAGATTAGTTGAAAAACTTTATTTTTACTAGAAAACACATTTGCTTGAGAAACTTAAGTCAATTAATAATGATTCAATAGAGCAAGGTGACTGAGATCATGGCTTAAGGCTGACTGGCTTCAAATCCTTATTCCACTACTAACCTAGCATGAGACTTGGAGCAATATTCTGAACCTCAGTTATCTTATCCTTTTAGTGGGGATTTTAAAAAGTACCTCCTTTTTGTGAGGTTGGTCAATGGGTACAAATATACAGTCAGAAGGTGTAAGTTCTAATGTTCTGTAGTAGAGTAGGGTGACTTGTTAGCAGCAACATATTGCATATTTCAAAGTAGCCGGAAGAAAGAACTTGAGATGTTCTCAACACATAGAAATGATAAAGACTCAAGGTGATGAATGTCCCAAATACCCTGACTTGATCACTACACATTGTATGCATGCAACAAAATATCCCATGCCCCCATAAATATGTAAAATATTATGTATCGATGAACAAAGTACCTCTTTTTTTGGTGGGTGTGTGTGTGCACATGCACTCACACATGTGTGAAGATAATTGAGTTAATACATGTGAAGCACTTAGAAAAGTAAATGAATGATACATAACATGTGTTCAATAAATTAAATAATTATAATAATTATTCAGAAAAGGGATACATACAAAGGATATTAAGCTGCTTGAATCTACAAGATTTGGTGATTGATTCCAAAGACAGTAAAGAACCCCTGTAACTTCCCACATAAGAGGCAGGGGTGGCATAACAGCTGCAGCAGCAGTCAGTGAAGAGAGAGGCTGAGCCACACACTGGGGTTGATCACTCCATGGACAGAAGCAGCTGAGCCCTGATGGATATTTAAATAAAACTGCATATCCTAAGGTCATTATAGTATGCACAGCACACAGGGCTTATAAAGTCTTAGATAAAAGGTTTAGTAATGTAATTTAAAATAATATTTCTTTTCCTTGGACCCACATTTACATTACTCATGCTGGGATTTCACCCACTTGGTATGGCCATTTCCTATTTAAGAGTTACTGTTTTCATTTCCTCATCTTCTCTTGGCATTCCTGTCCTTAGAATCCAACAGCACCCACCACCAGAGGAGGAGAAGCCACTCATGCTGTAAACTCAGAGTGAACAGCACACACTTGATCAACAGGCATGGACCATATCCTACTCCAGGTACACTGTCTCCTGAGATGGGCTGGTCTCCAGAGAAATATCCCTCCCTCTAGCTCCATACCTTTACTAATCGCTACTAATGACAGGAAACCTAAGATGAATTGCTGCATGTTCCAAATTAACTATGTGCAAATAGGATTCAAAACTAAAGAACTAAAGAATTGACTCACAACTTGTTTTTATTCTTCTATTTATTTTGACAGGTTCTTATAATTTTCTTATATAGGAAAATTACGTGTGTGTATATATATATGTAGACACATAAACTTCATAAAAATATATACTTCATAAAGAATACATATTTAAATAGTTGTCTACACAATGCAACTTCCATCACTATATATTACATAGGGAGATTTCTAGATTTAACCACCAAAAAATACAATCCAAAAATTGCACTTAGGAAACCCAAAGAGGCCCAGCAAAACTCAAAGGTATAGAACATCCAAACACAGGCCTACCTATAAAAATAACTACCATGGCGAAGCATAAAAATGAGAAAATGTTTGCACCAAAGTCAAGATTCTTTATGATTGTCTCAACACCATTCTATAGGGAGCAAACCCTAATGAGATATCCCTAACAAAGCCACTCCCTAATAGTTGATTAATTACTCATAAAAGTTTATTAAAGGATTAATGCATACCTTAAACATGTAACTTTAACATAAAATACATAACTATAAGCTCATTCACCAATCGCTTCAGAAAGGTCAAGCCCTCTTACCCAGCCACTCCTCCTCCCCTCAGGAATTTCTGTGGGTTAGAATTTTAGTGTTCTATTTTTTGACACAGGGTCTGACTCTATAAGCCAGGCTGGAGTGCAGTGGTGCAATTACAGCTCACCTTGACTTCCCAGGCTCAGCTGATTCTCCCATCAGTCAGCCTCCTGAGGAGCTGGGAATACAGGCTTGTGCCACCAGGCCCAGCTAATTTTTTTGTTGTTTTTAGTAAAGGTGGGGTTTTGCCATGTTGCCCAAGTTTACCTTTTTTTTTTAAAAAAAAAAAGATTGACTTTTTAGAATCAGGGGTTACATGTACAGGTTTGTTACAAATGTATATGGTGTGATTCTGAGTTTGGAGTACAAGTGACCCCGTCACTCAGGTGCTATGCATAGTAAGCAACAGGTAGCTTTTCAACCCTTGCCCTCCTCTCTCTCTCTCCACTCTAGTATTCCCAGTGTCTATTGTTGCCATCTTTACGCCCATGTATGCCCAATGCTACCACTTACAAGTGGGAACATTCCGTATTTGGTTTTTTACTCCTGTGTTATCTCACTTAGGACAACGGCCTCCAGCTGCATCTATGTTTCTGCAAAGGACATGATTTCATTCTTTTTTATAACTGTGTAGTTTTCCAAGGTGTGTATGCACATTTCCTTTATTCAATCCACCGCTGATGTGCATCTAGGTTGATTCCATGTCTTGCTGTTGTGAATCGTGCTGCAATAAACATCTGAGTGCTTGTTTCTTTTTGATAGATCAGTTTATTTTTCCTTGGGTATATATCCAGTAATGATCTGCTC
Source organism: Homo sapiens (assembly GCF_000001405.40). NCBI lineage: Eukaryota > Metazoa > Chordata > Mammalia > Primates > Hominidae > Homo > Homo sapiens. The sequence goes on along the minus strand of NW_013171808.1, from coordinate 45,031 downwards.
TGTCTTGCATGAAACAGCAGATAGAGTTAATTGTCTGTGATTTCCATTTAGGCATTCTCTAAAAATAAAGCAATAACTTAGGAATACTTAAAAAACAACCTTCTAGATGTTATATCTTGGCAGAAACTTTCTGGAAACTAGTTTTTTCCTGGCATTTAACTTGGTTTCCCAGAAGCAACCTTTACACAGGCACATTTCATTAATTTACATAATATTTAATTAAAATATATAAGTACAACTGGTATCAGCAAGTTTGAAAACAACAAAAATTGATTCTTGTAAACACCTAGCAACTGCTAGGTGCAAAAGTATGTGGGCCCACTAAAAAATAAGCTACAGCTGCAAGCAATCAGTGAGTCACAGGCATCAGTCAGATTGTTTTAGAGTGGGAACAGTGTGTCTTGGAGCCAGAAAGGAACGTAAATGGGTTAGTTAAGAAAGTTAGTACTAGAAATGGAAATTATGTTATTAAAAATAAGATTGTCCTACGAGGTTATACCAGTTAGCTATTGCCACAGTAATGCCACATAACAAACTACCCCAAACTCAACGGCATATGCCAATAAGCATTCTATTCTCATGCTCCTGGATTCCCAACTCAGCTGTGATCTAAGTAGGCCAGTGGCTCTGCTTCAAACAGTAGGTCTAACTGAGCTTGACTCCCCACTACAGATTGTGCTATGTCTACTCTATACATACTCGTTGAGGCACCCAGACCGAAGATGCAGCAACTACCTGGGGAAGTTCTTCCCCTGGCAATAGCAAAGCACAACACACCTTTTAAACCTAGTGTCACGAATGCTAACATTCCATTGGCCAAAGGGAGTCACACAGCCATACCAGAAGTCAAGGGACAGGTAGTAGACACCACCATCTTAGATGCCAAAGAAAGTCACAGGCCAAGGTCAAGATCCTGGCGTGAGTAAATATACTCCTCCCATGAAGATGGGGGAAGCAAGTGAATATTTTCAACTTTCCACCTCATGTACCAAGATAAAATGCTTACTCGCAGTCCTAAATATGTAAAATTCTGCTTAAAACTAATTTTCAGTGTCACTTTTGGCTCTAACTTCTGTGATTTTACAATTTTGTGACTCATTTGATAAAAATGTATTATACTGCTAGGCTGATTGGCAATATTAATACAAATAAAAAAGGGTTAATGTATTAGCCATTGTTTTGTAAAATAGTTTGTGCTAAAGAAAATATTTTGGTTCGGGACTATTTGCCCATGCAAATTCAAGCACAAAGAACTACAATTTGGCAGAAAAAGTATTCTGTCATGTGTCAACAAAGTGGCCTCTTTTTCATATTCAGTACTTGATTTAATAAGATATGAGATTCTTTTTAAAAAATATTGTTACTTTATATGTATCACACACATAAACGTGATCAACTATGCACTCTGAAAATTTATTCAAATCTTAATGGTGAAAACATTCTAAAGATGAGATACCTAATCCAACTTCTTCATTTCTTAACCTAGGAGAGTTGCTAGAAAACTGGAATTATGAAAAATAAAAGGTTATAAGCAAGCATAAATGTACATAAGTCTTGCATTTAAGAATCATTATCATCCAAATGAACATTTAGAGGTATTTCTTATTTTACACAACTCATGTGCTCCTGAAAAGTAAACCAATCAATTGGTAGCTACATGTTACATTGCTGGTAGAGACTTAAGTGTGGTCTTCTGAAGTGAAGAGGAGTAGTGAGATGGTGAACATGATGAACCTAACAATCAAGGTGGACTTTGAAGGGCAGATAGGTGTTGGATAAAATGAAAGAAAGTAAGGAAACAGATTCCAGAAAAGCTGGGGGAGGGGTGTCATAAATCAAGTCATGGAAATAAGAATAAGCATGCTTATTCTTATGTTTGCCAATCAGTAGAACCAAAGATGAGCCAAGAGGCCTGTTCGCATTTAGAAAAAAAAATAAGGTTGAATAAGGTTGAAGCCATTTATTGCAGCATTAGAAATCCAGACACAGGAGTTTGGATTTCATATGGTAAAGGTGTTAAATGTAAGTGGCTAAAAGTGGGAAATTACTCTGGCAACATGGAAGGATTGCTAGGGAGAAAGAAAAGAGAGATAAACGTCTTGGAGAGGGCTGCATCCCTAATCCAGCATGAGACAAGAAGATGAGGGTCTGGCCTAGGATTATGGCACCCGTGACAAAGAGATGGATGGAGAGGCTCCTACTTTCAGTGTGGTACCTGGGAAGACTAGAGAATCAAGGTTTGGCGTTCATGGCACACACTACAACAGAAGTTCCCTGTTACTGCTGCTATGGTTTGCATGTTGCGCTAAATACCTGACAAACATAGCTAAAATATCGAAGTAACTACTGTGTATGTGTGCAAATAGGGCCACCTTTTAGAACTGTCTCTTAACCATCCCCATTTACAAAGTTGCCGTGCTTTCATAGGAACCTAAAAGTTTCCAAAATCTGTGAAAAGCTCTTTATGTAAACATCTGTAGAAGTAAACAGCACAGCAAAATAAACATATAAGAAAAAGTGCCCACAGACTCATAGAGAAGGTCAAGAGTTCAGTGTTCTATTTTCTTTTCCACTTTAAAAAAGGTAAAATGAGACTATTAAGATGATATTTAAGATAAATATAATATAGCTCTGTCCCTAAACTAGTAAAGAAAACACAGAAATAGAAAAATATAAAGCTTTTAACTAAATGTAAAATATTTTCAAAGGTTTAAAAATATCTGTACACTCTCGGCCAAGATGTTTTCTAGAAGAGGTCCCATATAGGTTAATTACTTGAAAATTCTTTAAAATTGACATATTGTATTTACAGAAGACAAGAGTTGAAAAGAAACCTGAAATGGTCAAGAAAATTAATACTTCTGAAGTGCTAAAAAACCTGGGTCTTTAAATTTAAAGCTACCATTTAAAACATATTTATACTATTTAATTTCTTAGAAAACACCCTTTTGTCATTCATACAAAATCAAATATCAGTGACTCTCCAAGTTACTAGAAATTTTTAAATGAAGACCAAATCAAGAAGGTTTACAATATGTATTATTTCAGTAGTAAGTAGGGGTTTATTTGTTCAAAAAAAGAGAAATCTCCCTTAATTATGCTCAACCAATTCTCTATTGTCATGTTCTAAATTACTCATGTGAAGAAAACAGTGAAGAAAGAACACAGAAGAAAATTTGAAAATTCAAGAACCTTAGGGCTCAAAAAGGATATTGAGGATACAAACTGATTAAAGTAATAATGAAAGTTTCAGAAATATTAGGACTTAATTTTTTAATAAGGAAGCTGAGGAATACTATCATAATTTTCATTAAATTTTTGGTAACAGCAGACATTTCATTATGCGCTATAAAAACCAATGTGTTAAGCCCCGCACTAAACTTGCAACCTGCTGATAAACAAACCCGTCATAAAGTTGGTTTATTATATCAGAAATATTCTAATAAACATAATCATATTCTACAAATCAAGCAAGTGTACATGCTAACTTACATCAGCTCAGAAGAAGAATGGTTAAAGCAAATGAGGAGATAAGGACATCATTTTGTATCTTCGTAGAATAACAGGATCCAAGAGACTTAGAGCCCCATGCAGACATTAACTTAATCCTCAGAAATCTATTCTGACCAGAGCTTTATAGTCTTCCTCTAATTTAGTCCTGTAGCCCTTTCCATTCTTCTTCCCTCACCATCTTCTGGACCCTCTGACTTTCATTCCATTTTACTCAGAGGCTCTGTAACAACTTCATTTGCCAGCTTCTAAATTATTTTGATAAAGTGTATGATATTATACAGTTATTACAACTAGGACCGCAGGAAACATTACCAGATCGATATCACCATCTCCCATTAAATGGCAATTCAGTGTGTCAGTAATTTCCTTTTATTGCACTTCAAATCCTAAAATACCCAAGATCTTTTTTATTATGTCCTCTACAATCCCTGCAGGCTCAGAATGTTACAGAATCTAGAAAGGGGCAGGGATAGGAGGGAGGAGGGAGATGAGGCAGAAGGACTTAATAGGACTGCTACAAGGATGTTAAAGAAGTAATTTTACTTTTCCCCAAAAGTTGAAGCTATTTTAAAGGCAGAGATACAAGTTCCCCAGAAACAGATTTGGCATCACTTTTATAAAATACATGAGATAATGGCAGGGGGTGTAAAATTTGGGAAAACATAAAAACTGGTGGATCAGACTCATAATTTCACAGATACTATTGTTAGAATAGGCCGAGATTCATTTAAGTAAAATAGAGGATTGATTTATAGAAAAATGTGAGGTAAGTAGTGGTATGGGGGATGCCCAGCAAGGCCAACCTAGTTGAAAGAGCTATTAGGAAAAATCTGTTTATGAAAAAACATAGTCCTCCAGGCCCCTTGGAGTAAGCTTCTCCCAGTTTCCCTGTTGACAGACACAACACCGGGCAAGGCTCCTGGCCAGAGCTCCATCTGTCAGCTGGACAGCAGGTTTGCAGATGAATACTTTATTTTGCTCAACAGTTCTTAATTTTGCAAAAGGTCTAGCAAGCTTCCTTGGCAATACTTCCCTTAACAGGCCTATTCAAAGTCTTGCATAACAGAAGTAAGGATGGCCTGAGGATCCCTGTCCGTAACATTTCAGTCATTTGGGGCACATTTTCCCCAGGTTGTCACACCCCACACCCCATGTTCTCCTTAAACGGCACCTCTCCCATGCAGCTTTCCCTCTTCATTCTCTCCCATCCTCCCTTCAACCTACTTGTGATTTCCCCCCTTTAAATATCCATCACATTTTGCTTGTTTCTTTCTACTGGCCTAACTCATATTCTCCCTTTTATGTGGGTTATATTATATTATTCATTAGAAGCTCCTTGAGCAATAGGATCCATGTCTCATTTATCTCCCTGACCATCCTGTCCTCTAACCTATCAAGACCACTACTTAGTAATTCACAATATGTCATGCATTTACTAGGAACTCAGACAGTAGTTTAATTCTGTCATGAGAATGCAAAGTTTATGCTGGAACAGAGAATCCTTAACCAGAAATTGGCATAGCCCACTCGGCCTTATGTGCTTGATTTCTACTCTGCTTGGAGCTTTCCATGCAGGTGTGACTCCCAAGGAGCAGGGCAAAATGAACACTGGTAACCCCCTCCTCAATTTCCCCTTCAAGATTTTACAGCAGCTTTGCTGCTCCTTCCATCACCTCTCCATCTGATGTGTGCAGAACTTTACAACATCAATAATAGAGAGTTTCTTGATGCATAAGCTAGGGATTTTTCCTTCTGCAATCCCAGAGAAGGGAGATGGAGGACAACGACTGCTTGACAGAGTTGGTCTCAGTTCTTATAGGGCCATATAATGAAAAGAGTACAGTCTCACACAAACTACCCCCAAACTAAGAAAGAAGTGAAGGGAATCAGTATAGACTTATTCCAAGAGTTGTCACATACTGGTTAAAAAATGGGACAACAGTTTTGCAACATAAAGTAAATCCACTTCCAGCACGTAGAAGAAGGCAGAAAAAGAAAAGTCACATTTAAAAGATTGATGGGATCTGGCAGCATAGCTTCTTCAGATGAATGGGGCAAACCCAATTTACTAAGCCCAGCATATCAAAGCAAATTGTTACCTCTCTCTTTAAAACATAAATCAAAATAGCTACAGAAGGGAAGAGACAAATGAAGAATATTAAATGTCACTCAGTCAATCAGTATTTATTGCAACAACTATGTTGCAAGCACTGTTCTGGGCACTGGAGGGATAACAGTGAAACAGACAGATTTCCTACCCTTAAGGACCTTAAGCTTGTGCAGTAGAAGACAGAGAATACAACATATAAACAGTCCATTTCAAGTACTAAAATATGCTGTGAAGAAAACGAAATAAATGAGATATGATCATCCTAAGGGGGAGTGGCAGAGGAAGGACAGCATTAGCTAAGGTGGTCAGGAATGGCTGCTTGGAGGGGAGTGAGTAAATGAAGACAGAAAGCAGCAGAGGGAAGACATGAAGGACAAGGAAGCACATAGGGATATTGGGGAGGGTTAAGGTCCAGAGGGAAGGCCAGTGTGGCCCAGAGACTAGGGATTCAGTGGAAAGAGATGAAACCAGAGTTGCAGGCATGGAATCTTGAGGCTAAAGTAAGGAGTCTACATGTCACACTGGTCTTCATGGGAAGCCCCTGGAAGGTGTTATGGCACAAGGAAGTGAGGCAGCCTGATGAATACTCTGGCTCAGTATGCAGAATGGACTGTAGAGTGTGAGTCTAGAGGCAGGGCTTGGAGGCTGCTGCAGGAACACAAGGGAGAGATCCTGATGGCTTGAACAGGGGTTATAATAACAAAAATGACGAGAAGTGGCCTGCTTTGGGATATATTTTGGAAGTCAAACAGACAGGCTTTGCTAATGGATTGGATGTAAAAAATGAGGGAAAGAGAGGAATTGATGATGACCCCTCACTTTGGGTCCTAAGAAATTGGATGGATGGTGGTGCCATTTATGGAGATTGGAAAGACTGGGGTAAAAGTGGGTTTAGGGGTATAGTGGAATAACATTAGTTCTGTTTAGACATGTATGTATATGATATTTCTCAAATATCTAAGTGGGAGTCCAATTGGATATATAGATTTAAGAATAGCCAATATATAATATTTATTTATTTATTTATTTATTGAGGTGAAGTTTTGCTCTTGTCCCCCAGGCTGTAGAGCAATGGCACGATCTCGGCTCACTGCAACCTCTGCCTCCTGGGTTCAAGTGATTCTCCTGTCTCAGCCTCCTGAGTAGCTGGGATTACAGGCATGTGCCACCATGCCCAGCAATTTTTTTTTTTTTGTATTTTTATTAGAGACGAGGTTTCACCATGTTGGCCAGACTGATCTTGAACTCCTGACCTCAGGTGATACACCCGCCTCTGCCTCCCAAAATGCTGGGATTACAGGTGTGAGCCACTGCACTTGGCCCCAGTAGATGATATTTAAAACCAGTAGACTAGATGATATCACTAGTGGGAGAGAACAATGTTGACAAAAAGGAAGGAGACCCAAGTTCAAGCTCTGAAACATTCTCAATATTTAGAGGGTGGTAGGAGGATCAATAAAGGAGACTGAGAAAGAAAGGCCAGTGAAGTGGGAGGAAAACCAGGGCAAGGTAATATAATTGAAGTCCAGAATATAAAGTATTTTAAGAAGATGGAAGTAGTCATATGTACCAAACGCTGCTGAGAGACATCACCCTCTCTGGCAGCTTAGCATCTTAAAGTTCAGATCAACAAGATGTCATCAATCACCTGGAAAGAGAGCCTTAATGGAGAGGACAGGAACCACAGCCAAAACAGTAAGCAGACATCTGATTCCTCAGATGCCTCACCATCAATTATTTCTGAAGTGTCCACACTAATAACTTAACGCATTTAAAAAGAAGTGAGCTTCAACAGACAGCAAGAAAATGAATTTTGGGGTGGCCCTAGAGGATGTAGAATAGAAAACTTCTCAAAGCTCAACTTTCTGGATGGGCTGCTGAATGGGAAGGGGAAGTGGGGTACAGTGGCTACATTGCTGTCAAGATAATGGAGTTCTTGGGACTTTATTCTGAAAATTATTTCCTCCCATTTCGAATATGGTGATACTCAAAACTAAGTACTCATGACATAAAAATAAATTAGAAAGAAGGTAGGTAAATATTGTATTGCCCAGGAAAGCTTGGCACTCTAGACATGCACGGTTTTATTATTACCCTTTCTTTTGCCATAACTTCTAATGAGAAATCCTCTTAATACAGTTTCCATATTATAACTTCAAACTACAAGGCTCTTCCAACAGATAGCATAAAGATCAGTTGAAAAGCAAAAAAGTTCTGCTTGTTCAAAGTATATGTCCCAGCTTCACTTTTTCATGAGATGTAGATAAAACTAGAAGAATAAAACTAAATCAATAGGATAATTTTCACTTTCATCTAAATACTTTGTGAAAGGAACCAGTGTCTACCTGACCCACTACATACTTGCTTGCTGGTGTGAACACAGACCTAAATGATTTGAATTCAGGGCACTTCTGAGTGGTCAGGGATCTAAATGGCCAGGCGAAAGAATGTTTCTAGCTCATTAAGACTATGCATCTCTCAGCTTCTATGGCATTTCTGGAATCTGTCAACATTGCGAGTCATATCATAACTATGAGGAAATGTTTTTAACTTAACTTTTGACCTTCAGTCTAATGAATCTTCTAATTCTACCAGTTCAAACTATTGAATAATTCAATAAATAGTGTTGTGACCCAAGGCAATTTGAGATATGTGATATTTTTCCTTTGAGATGAAGAGGGAAAAGGAGCTGATTCTGCATTCCATTCCAGCTCATCATGTTAAAAACACCTGAATACATCCATTTTAAATTTTTTCCCATACAAAGTAAAAGGCTGAAATGGAAAAAAATAATAGCTTCAAACCATAGTCTCCCTTTACTGCAACAAAAATCTCCCTTGAAAATGTTTCTTTTTTCTTCCCCTTTCCTTAAAAGGAGGAAAATTGTTAGTTGGAACACTGCTTACCAAGGGGTATGTTTTGTACATGTTTCTAAATGCCAATCAGAAGTTTTCTGAAGCCAATGGTAACTTATATTTTAGTCAATCTCCATGAATGCCTGGGGAAATATGTAAAACATTAATCAGGGTAACCACAGTTGCATAATTATCATCTGAATGGAAAAGAAGTAAATATAGAAGAGCAACCAGAGATTAAAATTAAGTTAGTGATGTGTCTCAAAGCTCAATTAGCTTCTATCTACGCAAGGAACCAAACTTTTACAAAGAATGGGGAAGGTTGGGGGTTAATTTTGAAATTACAGACTCAAGGAAAATTATTTTTATCTTTTAAAAATTAAAAAAAAAAAAGGAAATCTATACCAATTTCTGTTACAATTGTCAAACATGTTCAGATTTTTCCAAAGTACGTCATATAATCTATGGAAAAGATCTCTGTTTAGGGAAGTTAAGGCAGCTAGGTCCATTCTCTTCATCACTAAGGAGCTGAGTGGCTTTAATGTGGGGTAGTGGAAAAGGTATGGGCATTGGCAGTACAAAGGCTTAAATTCAAAACCTATCTCTGCCTCTTGCTGTGTTTCCCTGGGCAAGGTCCTCAACCTCTCTGAGTATCAGTTACCCCACATGTGAAATGGGGATAATAGCTATCTGTCAGGGCTAAGATTAAATGAGATAAGGTACTGAAAGCTATTAGCACAGAGTTGGGACCAGTGTTTGTTTTCTTTCTCCTTTTCCTTCTCTGAACTGATTAGGTTTTTTTTTTTTTTTTGAAGGACTTAGGGCAGATAACTTAAATTCCTTTAATACTCTAAAAGCCTATAATGCTGGTAATGTACACTGAAGGAAGAAAAACCTCAATTTTCAGTAATTTGTGCACCTACAAGACAAAGCGCTACTTCATTCAATCTGAAAACCAACTCCCCAGAGCCTAATAAATAAGTGTTAATACATGTCATCCTGCAAAGGACACAGCCTTACGCAGTTCCATAAAGGATTTTCACAGATTTGAATTACTTAATTTTAAGGTGTTAGCTTAGGAAAAGAGTATCAGCAAATAAATAATGATAAGCAATAACTTCCGATGAGAACAGAATTAAAGATTTCTTTTTATTTTCCTTTAATATTCTTCTAGGTAAAACTATGTTTCAGCAACTTAAATCAGAGGATATAAAAAATGGATAGGAGGTGAGAAGTCTAACTGGTAGATCATTTTCTTTGGGATCATTTCCCACCACCACTTTTTTTTTTTTCTTTTCATACTTCCAAACCCTGGAGCTGCTCCCTTCTAAAAGCTACTGTTCCCAAGCTGCCACTCTTGGCCCAAGGACCCTCCGCCAAACTCTGTGCTCTTTCCAGGTTCCTAAGGAGACCTCCAGCTTCTGTGGTCTCCTTCCCCTTGTCCGGAGTCAATACATATCCATCATTCTCTTCTTATGCTTAAAGTTAACTAATCAGAACTAATTACCTAATTAGATTTCTGGGAAAAGGTTTCAGCATTTACTTAGAAATTCTTTAAGAACAAGAAAGAATGTGCCCAAAATTAGCAATCTCAACACCATTTCCATCTTTAAGAAATGTAGGCACATACAAATAAATAAGAACTTGTCTTTGCCCCCATTTTTTTCTGTCTTGAATAATAAAGAACATGATAAAGTCATGAATGCCAAATAGGCTTCTTTTTGAGTAAGCATTTTCAATAAGCGAGTTGGTGCAAAAGTCGGCAGGATGGGAATTGAGAAAGCTACACCCGCGTGACAGGCAAGGCAGTGTCAGGCAGGCAGCCTCTCAATGCCCTTCCACACCAGACTGGAGCAGTGGCAAAGTCCAAAGTTCTTTCAGAAGATTTATATCAGCCCAGAGCAGCACACAGACACATGCTAATGGGCCATTTGCTCACAGAATGTAACTCCATGGGTGATATGCCAGAGTTAACTGAGAATTATGGAGCATGAATCACAGAGAATGAAGATCATCAGGTGAAATCAGGAAAAGGCACCCAAGAACCAAGCCTAGATTTTCTAATGGCATTTCCATAAAACTTCTGGCAAATATTCACCATCCCAACAAACAGAAGAAACACTCTCTCTACAAAATGGAACAAGGAATTAGTCTCTGCAATTTCTGCCATCCCTGAGCAGAGAGCTTGCTACTCGAGGATGGGCAAAAAGGCTTTTTCAGCCACAGACACTCCAGACTGAGAAGGCTGAGGCTGTTAGAGTGGAAAGGGACGTGTGTTTCTCAAAGGCAAAATGTTCTACTAAATTCCCTAATATAACATATACCCGCTAGAATTAATAAAAGGAATGAAAACACCCTAGATTACACTTAATTTTCTGACACAGACAGTGATAAAAGCTGAAAAGTACCTATCAACTGAGGCCACACAGCTCAATATGCCTCCCTAATGACATTTTATCAAAGAGGATTTGTACGTGTCAAACACGGAATAAATAGCATTTTGGTCCTGAAGACACTTCCTCAGCTCCTGCCCATACTAAAGAGAAAATACATTGTCGAGGGTATTTAGACACTTTTTCATAGTGAGGCCAGGTTCTCAAACTAGAGAATGAAATAAACCATATGAATGGCTCAGAGAGCTACTTCAATGAATTTCGAAGAGAAATGTCTTTTTCCCTTAATGAAACACTAGTTGGTATTCCTTTAAAAGAGGCATTTAGAACCTAAGATAAATCTCCTTGCAAGTCAAAGTCTTGGAGGAAAATATTACAAATTGTATCCTATGTTCAATAATAAAAAGTAATTATTGAAGCCATAATTTTAGCTGGGACAAATGTTAAAGTTAAGTTCAAAAAACATCAAGAAATGATGGACTTGAAAAGGCCAAGGTAGAAAGGAAGGAAGGGAAAAAGAGGTCTGGAGCGTCCTGCCCTTTCCCCAATGCTATGATCTGAATATTTGTCTTCCCCAAAGATGTATGTGTTGAATCTAACCCCAAGGTGGTACTAACAGGTGGGACCTTTAGGAGGTGATTAAATCATGAGGGTAGAGTCTCATGAGTGGGGTTAGTGCCTTACAAAAGAGGCACCAGAGAGCTGCCTTGCCCCTTCTACCATATAGAAACACAAGGAGATGACATTGTCCATGAGCTAGGAAATGGACTCTCACTAGATAACGAATCTGCCAGTGCCTTGACCTTGGACTTACCAGCCTCCAGGACTGTGAGAAATAAATTTCTGTTATTTATAGCCTACTTAGTTTATGGTATTTTGGTTATAGCAGCCCAAATGATCTAAGACACCCAACCTTAGTAATCCCCCAGATTCTCCCAACCCCACACCAGAAGTGTTCCCCTTGCCCTCTAAGAGAAGGCTTAGTACCATAGTATAATTTCCTGTTTACTCATTTGCCTTCCCCAGAGACTGGGATGCTGTGAAGACAGAAAAAGACGTCTTCCCCATTCACCAATTTATCTGCAGCTCCCAACACCATGCTTGGAACGCAGTCAATACTGAAGGGTAAGGGAGGGAGAAGAAAAACCATACGGCAGCGTAATAGAAGGAGAGGATATATAAAAGTATTTGTTTTTAATTTCCTTAACAATTTTTGTTCCTAGTCTAGTCAAGCAGAAGGCAATGTGTTTTCTATCACGCAAATACAGAGTTTCAGGGCCCAGGTCACTAAAAAATAAGTGAACTGGCTACAGCTGACTCTTCAGTGGTCCTCTTAATTCACATACTGAGTCCTGAAGAAGATACTCTAATATAAAAAGCTCCAGGGAACCTGTGGTGATTTCTAGACTCGGCTTAGCAATTATTTTGGTTTTTTTTTCAACCTTTTTTTTCCTTTACTGAGTGCTAAAAAACCCCCAACAGAATATTCACAGAATTCAGTCCTTATGATCTTAAAGGTGGGCATGGGGTGTCTCTGACTTGGAATCCTCTTTACCCAAGGAGATGTGGATTTCAAATCCAAGGTGAAATAAATACATGTTATTCTTTGAATGATTAACAGTAGGAAAGGTGTCTTATCTCTCACTGTGACCGCCCTAAAGAAAAGATGTCAGTGAAGCCCAGGTACGGCCAAGCCGAGTTCTGGGACCTCCACAAGGAGCCTGGAGTGAAAGACAGAATCTATGGCATCACTGGGAAGAAGCATGGCTAGTGTCTCTGTCACTTCTCTCACGAAGTCAGAAAACATAAAGTGCAAACCAAAGCAATATTCAGGATTCATGTGTTTATACTCTAAAAATGGAGAAAATGAAAATATTTCCATTGTCATAGCAACCTAGATTCCCCCACAGTTTAAATGCATGGTATGCAATAGCGGTTATTCTGAATTACTAGTTAAGCTCCCTCTAAATGCACAGTTTGCTCTACAAGGCAAAGGGTAGAGATGACTCTTAGTGTCCTTAAACCAACCCAAGATTGGTTTCTTCAATTTAACCATTTCAATACACATTTCACTTACATTATAGATAACTATTTTGTATCTCTTCTTCAAATGTGGAAACTGATGCAGTTAGCCCCTACTCTCCTGAAACATATACAACAAGAAAACAAGCCTTAGAATTGGAGTCTTAAAGTATTCCAGATACACATCTGAAGTAATTGTTAGTATCAGTGTTCATGTCTCTTAGTTTGTCATGAGACAAGGAAAATGTTATATTACTCTGATTTCTATTATTTATCATTTATATCATTAAATTAGCCAAAGTCAACAAAATGAGACCTTGAATGCACAAAGTAGAAGAGGCACACAGATAGAGTCGATGTGAGACGATGGGGTTGGCAGTGATTGGTCAATAGCTCAAGTATAACTACATGTCTATAGGTAAATTAACTACTCTGCAGCTTAATTTCTCAATCTGTAAAATGGGCATAATGATTATCTACTTTATAGCACTTCTCAGAGCACTGCCTCACTAGCGTAATGCCTGGAACCCAGTAGTTGTTCAGTATATGTCAGCTTTCTTTCCACTAAGGGCTAATATCAAATGCAGATCCCTGCTCTTGGGGCTTCTAGAAATATGGCTAACAAAAGACATCAAGATGAAAAAAGGGAGGGAGAAAATTAAAAGCAACACAAAGTAGGACATGATCAATGCTGACATGATACAATGGGCAAATGCTTCATAATTTGTTCATTTTTAATCATTTTGAATTAAAGTTAAAATTATAAGCATGCAAATATATATGCATCTCTCTCTATATATATATATATATACACACACACACACACACACTTATATTCAAATACCACATTTATCACTCAACATTTTAGAATAAATGAAATTTTACTCAGAAGATCCAATATTCACATCTCCTGTAATCTTCACATCAGAAAGAAAATTTCAGAGGAAGGAAGAAAAGTTTTTCACAAATCCTTAAAAATCTTTATAAAGCAATGATACAGATATTGCTCCCATAGCATTGATATGAAATCTTTTTCAAGAAATCAATTTTCTATATACAACTGTCTAATGTAACACAAGGGCAAACATTATATAATATGTGTGTGTGTGGTGTGTGTGTGTGTATATGTGTGTGTATATATATTCCAGACCAAATTCCAGACTCTGCTATGACATAAAAACCCCGAGGAAAACCAGAATAAGTGAATCGAGAAAAAAAAAATGATGGACAGAATGCCTAGAATTGTCGACAACACTCAACCCTCACAGGATTAACACAGAGAAATGCTGAACTACACAAATGGTCAACTCTCCAGCACTGAGCTGTGAATACTGGAAACAAAGCTGTGAAAACTGGAAACCAAGGATTCCCAGGTAGATGAGATCAACATGTCATTTATTAGAATCAACAATGTGGTATAGCATCCAGCTACAAAGTAATGAGGAATAAAAAAAAAAAGAGAGAAAACTGAAAGATTATTATGAGGGAACCGGGGCTAAAGAGAAATACCTACATTTCGGTAGCCACCTTGACGACAGTAATTGCCTCTATGATTCTGTATTCTTTTATTTATATGACAGCACTGGCAAGCATCCTTCAGAGCCATTTGCAACCACTTGCATTTTGGACAAGTGTTGTAAATTCAGACACATGGGCATTGTCAACCCATCCCGTATTCTGAGAATGTTTCCTAACTCTGGTCTTATCACAGTCCCATGTGGGACATTCTAGTTTTCTCAAGAGATATGTACTAAAATATCAAATAATTATCAAAATAAAGCTTGTTTCCATTTTCTTTCTGTAAATTACTAAAAATATATCATGCTGTATCCTGTTTCAGAGAGGTCTAGCAAAAACTCCACTGGATGGGGAAAGAAACTTGCCTAATTCCCTGAGACTCTGGATGTATCTGCTGCTCTTTTCTGAGTTCTGACCTGAGGGACCAGGCCAAGGATCACTGGTATCTCATAATGGCTCAGGGATTGGGTCTACCAACTCTGAGCTAAGGTTTCTTCAGCCAATGGGAAAGCTTGATATGTCAAATAACTCCTTTGAACTCAGTAAAGGTGACTACACATTTGCTCTTTCTATTCAGTCCTCAAAAGAACCATTGAAGCAACTTCTGGAAAAAGACACTACTTACAGGAAAACATATGAGAAGGAAAGATGAGGAATTCTGAAGGCTATTAAAACTACCCATGAGCTGTAATTACCAATCAAGGGCAGTTGAGGAGGTCTCCTTCTATTTCCTGATTTAGTCAATAGAATTTCCAATTTCCAATGAAATGTCACTTCTTAGGAGGTTCTTACCACTATTCCATCTTTTCAGATCCCTCTGTGTTAAGTGAAAGCTAATCTAATATGGTAGCCTCTTCTAATATGGTAGTTTCTTTAGGTCACATGGGAACAATGCTAGAGTCCATTTATTGTTCGAGAGACCTCAGAATTTAAAAAAAAAAGAGAGAGTAAATATGTATAAAGGAGAAACAACATAG
This sequence comes from Homo sapiens, assembly GCF_000001405.40. NCBI lineage: Eukaryota > Metazoa > Chordata > Mammalia > Primates > Hominidae > Homo > Homo sapiens. The sequence continues at coordinate 29,643 of NW_013171808.1, read as the reverse complement.
AAATAAGAAAACCTGGAATGCAGGCAAAATAAAATAAAATACATTTAATTAGATAATTAATTAAAAGCCACAAATATGGGTAATTTTAAATAAAAAAGAATGGTAAAATGCCTTGTCATCCAACCAGCATGAATAGGTTAAAGAACTACTGGTTTGGAATTTCAAAGTACATTGCACTTAACCTAGTTGTGTTATTATTCTGATTTTTAAAATAAACCTCTGGAGCAATCAAGAATAAATATATGTTACAATGCCACCCAGGGATTGGAATAATACAAACGTTTGGAAGCTACAAGGCCCTTAGATTGAATGCTGTACTGAACTGGGTCCAACCGGTGGCTGTAATTTTGTTGTGCTACTCTGAGCTGAGCTAAAAAATCACACAGTTAGATTTTTGGACAGAAATTCTATATATAAGAAAATAGCCAAGTTAAAAGACAAAAAGAGCAAGAGAAAACTAAAGCATTGTTCCTAAAATATCTTACCCTACAGCACAGTTTCCAATCCTTCTGCATAAGAGGCCCCTTTAGTACCCAAAGTATAGTGGGGAATCCAGTTTTAATTCATTCAGTCTACAAACAATGCATGTCAGTCACATACTCTAATTACTCAGAGGTCTAAGGCCCCAGGTTGGAGACAATAGCTTAAAGATATCTTTAAACTGGGTGTAGCCCTCCTTACCTTTCCTATTTAATGATGTAAGCTCAGTAGATGGCTTTCTTGTTTGGATGAATTCCTCCTTATGTTCTAAAATTCCTCCTGTGAAGAAACTGAAATAATTTTGCCTCTGAAAATACTATCTTTTCACAGATTTCCTGAGCACAGGGATCTAGGATGATTTATGGGGACAACACTCATCTGAAGTAGTACATTGTCACAGCATTTTAAAATATGAATAAATGATACAATTCTTTCTCTTTCAATAACTCTGCCCTATAATAAACTATCAGCACACTACCCACAGATAATGACACAACAATTTTTCCCCAGCTATTGAAACTGCTTAACATCTGCGGACAAAAAGCAAACAGGATACCCACACTTAAGTTTTTTTACTGTCTGTCTGATGTCCTACATGTTGGCATACTCAGTCAGCTTGCAATTCTCAAAATTGTCTCGACTCTTGTATTAAAGGATGTTCTAAAGTCCACTTTGACTTATTAAAGAGAGGCCGGCTACTATACATACCCCCTCAGGTACAACCTAAGATGGTAACGACACTGTGTAAACTTCAAGATAGACAAGGGACCAGGTGATAATATTAACTTTACAATCTATTTGTTACAGATACATAAAATAGGCTTCCTGGTCTACATCATGAGTCCTGAATTAGTTCATGGCCCATTTCCTGTAACATACCTGGATGAAGCCTTGTTACACTGGTGCATTTACCCACAGAGCCTTAACAGCCTTAAAGAACTATTAAAAGTGGGAGTTTATAAAGATTTTAAAGAAATTGTCAGCAAAATTCAACTAAGGGATGTAAGTCCAGCTATTATTAAGCCATCAGTTCCAATTTCATGCCTTACCACTTCTATAACCAAGTAAGAAAGCTGATAAAGATTTCTTCTCTTCCTTTTCCCCATAGGGCAAAATTTCTAGAGCCTTGGGTCAAATATTTTTTAATATAACTCCTGAAAGAGAAATACGAGTTTGGGTTCAATCATACAAATGACCGCTCTTAAAACACACACACGCTTGTACACTCACACACACACACCACTTTAAGCTGCTAAATCTGGAATATTTCTAACAGGAAACAAAAACAAAACTGACGAACAGAAAGGGGTAGAGAGGAAAGGGGCTACAGCCAAGGGCTGCATCTGCCCAAGAAACCGGGTCACGCTGACAGGTTTTATCAAATGGGTGCTTAGAATTCTACATGACAGCTGTACAAAGCTCTTCAGCTTCACTTTCCTGCCTCAAAAATAGCAGCTGTTCAGGGTGTAATAGATCCTCTCCCTGGTAAGTAAAACTGTCTTATCTTTGAAAGACTTGAGGGCAAACTCAGTTCCATCTTAAAAACACCCCAGCCACATCTTCTGCTTTCCATCCCATCTAGGAAAAACACCAAAAGGAAGAGGAGATGAAAGCAGGTTGAAAATCTCTTCCTTTAAAAGCTGGAGATTTTGTTTAGGTTCCCTCCAGCACTGGGGAAAGTTCGGTCCTTTGGTTTTCAATGGCAGGTCTGGTTTCCTTCCAATTTATTTCAATTCAATAACATTTCAAGTAACTTAGAAGCCATATAATTATTTACAAGTTGTTAGATGTGGAGCAGGACTTCTGTTCTTTTGAAGTTCTAAGTTCTGAGCACAAACACATCCATACCACCAATCCAAGGTGGAACTCTTCTTGTGGCTTCGTACAGCTCTCCTTTTTTTATTTATTTTTATTTTTATTTATTTATTTTTTGTTAGCTTGTAATATTCATTTAAAGTCCATTCATGTCTTTTTTTTGGAAATTTCAATCCATTTCCTATTTACTACTCATTGTACAATTAGCCATAATTATAAACATGGCCAATGTATGTGCTGCTCAAAATTATTGCCATCTTAAGTGTCAAAGAAGAATCTTCTGCCTCTTCACAAATAATTAACATACCCTTCAGTCATTCTTTAAATTGTGTTTTTCCGCTTTAAATGTCAAGAGTTTAAATCTTATGCAGCAGGAGAAAGTTCATATTTCCATATTGTATTTCCTGCTCTTTCCTTTTCTTACTTTCTGAGAACTGCTTGAACCATTTCATTCTCTAATTCTCTTAAATAATTGAAATAAAGAATCCTAAGAATTAAAGGTGTATTTTACAGATGCAGGAGCATGCTCAGAGGGGCACAACCACTTAATATTGCAGTGCTAAGGAAGTGTCAGATCAGGATTAGAAAGAAAACTAGCTTGGCCATAGCTCTTTCCTGCCCAACAACTTCCACCCCCGCCCCCCACACACAGCCCAACCACATTCCTCCTTTCCTATCCAATTCTGTTAATGCCACCATCTTTCTCCTTGCCATCTAACCCCTAATCCTTCATCTTCCTCTCCATCCCACTCTGAATCAGTGGTTAAAGTGTTGGCTCTTCCACAAGGCCTTGGTCACTAGTTCTGTGTCTTCATTCCACCTGCTCCATCCCTTATTACAACTCTTCCTAACTCACCAGCCTCTACTGCATCTCTTTCTCTAACCCCCATGTGCCTCCAATTCCTTGTGTACACGGCCTGCCTCCAGGTAACTCTCCACTAATCATGGTTCTCATCATAATGTTAAGATGCTCACATTTTTTAGGGATGCACAACTGCCTAACAAATAAAGTTCTAGTGCTCTTCCTAACATCCAGGAATCTTGAAAATTTGGCCCCCATTTTATCTCCAACTACCATCCTCCACACAACCAAAACTCCAATCAAATGAAACCATACACAGCTCCCTCCCAGTGCATCTCTGTGTTCCCCAGCTGTGGGCTTCTTTCATGCTCCTATACCCAGTTGGAACATCTCCTTCTTGGCACAATCAAGACTGCAGCTAGTGCAAATGCCCTCTCCCACGATCCCTCAAGGCAGACCCCTTGTTTGAATATGACAGCACTTTGATCCCTTGGAGCTCTTGCCTTTGTATACCTAGTGCTTTAGTTTCTCCTGTCCATGACTTACTTCTCCTACTCAAGAAAGAAACACAGCAGTGTCTGTTTCACTTGTGGGTCCATCTCAGCTGTAACATGCTAGGCACATAGCAAGCACTCACACTTATTGTTCCAATGAATGTATTTGGGATCACAGAGGCTGGGTCTCTCTACTGGAGTATATTTATATACAGAGCCAAGTCTAGTCTGACACACATCAGCCAGTAATAAAACTTGAGAACAAGTAGATACTTTGTCATCCCTTAAGCAATGTGAATAATAGTAAATTACATTAAAACAGAACATGTATTGGGATATACCTGGGGGTGCAAGAAAGAAAGAGGTTTCATGTTCTTGGTACCAATAAAGTAACCAAGCAAGATAGGGGAATCCATATGTGAATGTTTGAGGTAAAAACTGATTGCATAATGCACGCTTTTGACCAGGAAACTCTGGTATGCAAACCTCTAAGCCACTCAACAAATATCTTTACAGTCCATGGAAAAGTAAAATGCTCAATCATAATTAGGTTATATTGTTCATTAAAATGTAGTTCTAACTGCACCCAAAACATTCATGAATGGAGATGAATCAGCAGTCAGTAATGACTTAAAAGGGACAAATCGAGTTATGTAATTCTGAGTTTCCAATCATGCATCAGTCTGATTTCTTCTCTTCCACATGTCTTCCCCTTGCCTGTCTTTACTCCACTACACTGCCATTTTTCAAAGGTTCCAGAGAAGGCCAGGAGTTTACAGTCTTGAAGAGAACTGGAACAGGTTGTACGCTTCACATTTTGTCGATATTTTTTTAGGCAATTTTTTCCTGCCTAAAATTTTGAAAGATGGAAAATCCATTAGGTAATTATGTCCGACCCAAGAGACCAATTCAAGATTGTTCCCTATAGTTCACTCTCCAGCAATTTTCCAGTCTACTTCCCTGGGGAAATGTTAAAGTCATCTCCCCCACAGCTACTTTCAAATTTACCCTAAACCTGGTACCACTGCAAAGCTTTAAATGTAAACTTTATAACAAGACCCAAGCTGAAATTACAAACAGCCGTTAAAACCAGGATCTCTGTTTTTTGCAAGGAGACAAGACAATCCTAGGTACAAATGGAAAAGATCACATCAGGCTTTTATGCATTTATGAGCCTCAGCATACCTGTTCTCCCACAAGTCTTAGCACATGGGAATTTATTTTTTGGTTCTGTCATTCTTAAAAGAAGTGACAACCTCTGAGGTAGGGACAAGAGTTTATTTGGATATTTTTTTTTAAGCTGACACCAGAAAGGTCAAGAGCAGGTTACAGAGTTCTAAAACCCTCAAAAATTCAGTAAGGAAGAGGAGCAAAGTTTGTTCATCAACATAGGACATGTTGCTACTATTACAAGGAATCCAAGCTTCCCAACAGCTGAGATTATACGATTTACAGCCTAATTGTGGTCAAGAGTACACAGCACTGGGATTAGGGAAGATCTGGATTCATATCCTGGCTGCACAACTTATTCGCTATATAATCTCAGACAAATTCAGTCAGGTCTCTAAACTTATTTTCTCAATTTAAAAATGAACCTAACAATACCTACCTCATAGAATTGTGATGAGCTTAACATAACATATGCATGATGCTTTTCACAAAACATCCTACGGCCCAGAGTAAATCCATAATAAATATTAATGTGATACAAACCTTTAAATTATGATTAAGCTTCAAAGAATCTCAGCACCTTGCATTTAGAAAGGGCTTGGTTTACACATGCCAAATGATACATGGATTTTCTTTTGGTTTCACACTTTGGTTTTCTAATTCCCTATCTCTTTTTTATTTATCTCCTTATTTGTTCATAATATTAATAACTCGAATTTTATCTTATGACCCACAGTGTTTTATCAACTCTATAAATGAGTCACATTTTTTCATATATTTTTCATATATATATATATAAACAATTGTGATCACTGGAAATTCCTAAACTTTAAATTCCAAATATTTAAAGCATTCCCTCTGTTGCTGAGGGAAATCAGGAGCATTTAATAATGTGTGTAGATTAAATAGTGTATACTCGTTTAAGGGCGATCTTCTCTGGACACCCATTTGCCTCCTGGAACTCCATGTCCTATTCCATAAAGGACCTATTTACTGTGCCAAAAGATAGATCCTAAATCAAAGAGAAACAATAAAAGGAGAGCTGAAAAAAACAGCCAAAGATATTCAGTGTTATTTAGACTCAGCAACAAGTTTTCTCTATTATCAGACTTCAATATCTTGAAAAGAATGATAGATTTTTGTGCTTTTTAGGACAGTTTTTCACAAAAAGCTAAGGATATTTACAGCAGAGTGCAACACTCTAGTTTTACTTAATTTTCTGTGTCATGGGGTAGATGTCACCTCCACATTTCGACTCTTTGGGCAATGAATGCTGTTTCTGGTTTCAGCCACTCCTGACATCTTTGTCATAACAAAGGCCCTGTTACCTATTCGCAACAGTGTGAAATATGAATGACATGGAATTTTTCCTTTACTTAGTTTTAGAGCAGGTTCATTCATATAGACCCTTTCCTTCAAATGTTGAGCACTTGCGCCAGACTCTGTTTCATTGCCATAAAATTCTATAGGGCAGGTGTTACTCTTATCCCCTCTTTGCAGAGGACACCGAGGCACAGAAAAGTTAGGAAAATTCCAACATCACAGCAGCTGAAGACTGGCACAGGAGGACCCAGTTCAGAGCAATATGTTCTTAAGTACTCTATTAGAATGCCTCCTTAATATTCAGAGTGCCCATAATGGCTCCTCTCCACTGGTGAAAATGTAGAAATCTGCTTGTTTCCTCAGTGATTCAATCAGTCATTCATATATTTAATATGCTTTTATGTAGTGAGTCCATACTCTGTGGCAAGGACTGTGCTAGGGAGTGAGTATCCAATGAGGTAGACAAATGTTGTATCTGCCCACGAGGTATTTGTAAGCTACTGAGAGTTTTTCCTTTTTTTTTTTTTTAAAAAAAAACCCTAAAATAAAAAATTATCTAATTAATTAAAACATTTTTAAACTAAAGTTAAAAGTATGCAAATAATTATTAAATAAAGTTAGGATCACTGCTACAAACCCAGGGAGGGGCCTGTGAGGGGACACAGCACAGGTAGCCACTTGGGTCTGAAGGGTCAGGGTACAGATCTCTCATGCTCTTCATAGGGACATTAGTCAGAGTTAACTTTAGCTGTAGCTTCCGCAAAGGCAAAGTAGCTATTATATTTGCTGCTATAAATTTTGGATATGTTTCCTGCTCAGTAGAAATGTTGATCCAATTGCTGATGTTAAAAAATAACAATGAGTGGCTGGGTGAGGTGGCTCACACCTGTAATCCCAGCACTTTGGGAGGCCGAGTAAGGCAGATTACCTGAGATCAGGAGTTCAAGATCAGCCTGGCTAACACGGTGAAAACCGATCTCTACTAAAAATACAAAAATTAGCTGGGCATGGTGGCAGGTGCCTGTAGCCCCAGCTACTCGGGAGGCTGAGGCAGGAGAAACTCTTCAACCTGGGAGGGGGAGGTTGCAGTGAGCCGAGATCATGCCATTGCACTCCAACCTGGGTGACAAGAGTGAAACTCCACCTCAAAAAATAATAATAATAATAACAATGAAAGATGGCTACCAACCCTCCCCTGACCTCACCATGGCTCTGTGTGACTCCTAGGAGTAAAATTTCCATAGGGTAACATGCCATAAGTAGTTTTCTACTTCCTAGCCTAACATCAAAAATTAGTTTGGAATTTATCCAAGTCTCCCCACTACCTAATGATTTGAAAGTTTTAATATATAAAAATGTCCTAATTTTCTCAAATGTTCAGTGGAGAGGGTTAATATTTCCAGCCAGCAGGATCTTAAACTGTTTGAAACTTCTTTACGCACATTGCCCCTTAAAATCTTTCTAAAATGCATTAATACAGCTTTTTATCTTTGTAACAGTCTGGTGAATAAAATAAAACTTATCTCTGATTAATTCAGAATCTTGGCTCCTTCTGCGAGATTTCTCAGGATATCAACATTTCTTAAATCTTGTCTCATTGTCCATATTTGGGTGTGGAGAACACAGCCCCTGGTGTGAAAGAGGGTGTACAATTTCAATAGATGACAGAAGGCAGCGTTGCTGGGCTTCTATGTGGCCTCTGTCTTCTAGGGAGCACAGTATACTGGGGAGAAAGAACGAGAGGATGATGCAAGAACTCTTAACCCAGAGCCCATCAGAGTGTGGTGATTCCTTTCCTTGCAACCAGAGAAGTTCTGCTTTTATCTGCTTTGAATTTGGAGCTTCTGTGAAGGATTTCAATGCAAATAAACGATGCCATTTCTTTACAAGTTTAGAAAACTACTGATAACTGATTTGAATTAGTAAGTATCCACATCCAAGTGAATCAAATCTCCAAGTGATCTAGGAATTTGCAATGTGATCTTTTCCAACTGAATATTCTATAACTCTGAATCTGCTTTCATCCCGGACCATTTACCTTGGATGTTTCTGCAGTAAACAAATTCCTCACAAAATCTGACTTTCTTAAAACTCACCTCTTAAAAAAGTACTAGGGAGAAAAAATATGACTAAACCACAGTCACAATTTTGACTAAAAATAGTATTGCTTCATATTAAAAGAAACCTGAGTTACTGTGAAGAAATGCTCTCTATAAATCCCACATACTTAAGCTTCCCAGTTGGTTTCCTTTCCAAAGAGCCAATAAATATGTCCTAGGTGTTCTTGGCAAGTGAGAGCACCAAGGCCCATTCCACAGAGGAACAGCTCAGAGCAGAAACCCAGGAAATATGCAAATCATATTAAGAACAAAGGGCAATGCTGATCACTAGGAAGTTAGTGTTTTACATGACTAATTATGCCAAGTTGACGATAGATCAACTGAAGAGAACCTCCAAAAAGAAGAGGGCTCAAATCTAAAGTACATTGGTAAGAGCAAGGGGAGCAGAAGGCATCCCAGAGATGGAAGAGTGGAAGGTTGGGTACATGGTGTGATGAACTTGTTTTGCTGCCTCTGAGTAGATGCATTTCTTAGCTCCACTCAGAAACAGGGAAAAGGGAGAACCAGCTTCAGCATTACAGCAAGAAACTTGGCCAGACTTGTGAGGGTCCTGCCTAGGGCCTCCCAGCACTGCCCAAAGGAAAGAAAAGGCATACTGCAAGGCACCCTGGGCAATGGGAGAGAGGCAAGTGAGCCTGCAAAACAGTGCCTGATTCAAGCAAAAGGCAGCAGTAAAAGGAAGGGGTGGCAATAATTGTAACAGGAGCAGGAGGTACCCAAGCTTTACTAGTGGTCTCAGTGTGATAGTCAAGCTGCCTAGGAAAAGCCAAATGGAATATCTGCAATGTATTCCTCCCTACCCAAAGTTCTAGAGGGCAGGAGGGGAGGATGGGGGCCTGATGAAGAGATGCCTTTTCAGCAGTTTTGCTGGTGGGGCTTCATAGAGAAATAATTAATCATATTGCTACTGGAGGAAGGTTTAGCTGCAGTTACTTGCTTATTCTTTGCCAAGTAAGTGGCCTAAGTCAGTGGGATTTGTGAATCTGTCTTTTAGAGCTCCCCTGATTCTGATGCACAGCCAGCATAGAGAACTATGTGTTAGGAAACAGCTTTCACACCAGCAAGTGACTGGACAGGGCCAAGGCACAACAGTAGAAAGAAAAGGAAATGAAACAAAAGAAAATGTAAGGAAAGGATACATGGTTCCAATACAGTGCTTGCAGCCAAGTAAATTCTTTGAGGTTCTCTGTTGACATGATTTAGAGAAAGACTGTTCTCTCTTTGATGTCATCTCAAAGAACCGTAAGCATAGGACTCCTATGAAATGGTCATAATGGTCCTAGCTCTACAGCTGTTTAACCATGCCAGTATAACCATGTCATACTGGTCACACTAACCAGTATGGTTTGTTAGTGTGGTCGAGATGCACACAAACAAAAGTAGTTAAACCCAAAGGATTTCACTTTTCATTCCATTCCATTGACCTTGCTTCATGCAGACACACAACTTAATAGAAAGAGCTCTCAATTCCAAGGGTTGTGCAAAAAGCTAGTGTTAGGCAAAGTTGCTAAATTAGTTTTCTGCATTTTCCCTTCTGACACTTCATTCTTCTCTGATGTGTGGGTTTTGACTCCAGAGGACCTCTGCAGAAGCTCCATCATGCCAAGCAGCTTCCATTCCTCACACATTTCTTAACAGCTCAAGGCATTCCAAGCCTTGCTAAGTCATGACGTGGTAACTGTTGAAAATGGAGTAACACAGAGGCCCAGATAACCTAAACATCTCTAAAAGTAACCAAAAGTTGGCTTGTGTAGAATTTTCAGGCCTGTTAAAGCAAAATAGAAGAAAAGATATGGTTTCCCAAGCATACTAATAGCATTTTCAACATACACTCAGCTTGCTGATAGAGCCTTTCTGGATCATCGGTAACTTACAATAATGGATAAAAGTAAATAAGATCTTGCTTACTCATTTATTATCTCTTTTCTCAAAAAACAATAAGCTTCATGAGGGTGAGACCTTATCTGTCTTGTTCATCATATACCCCTGGGGCTTGAGAAAGCCTGGCTAGAAGTAGGCACAGTAGGCACTCAAATTTCTTATTTATTCAATCAATACAAAAGTCATTCATAATTAAAAAATATAACTCATGGGTCTTTTCCCAGTAAACTGATGATTTTTAAACTATATTTCTACTTTAATTAATACTAAAATAAATTTGAAGTTTATAAGCATATTATTGGAGAAGTGAAAGGTAAGAAAACTAGAATAGGAAAACTAACTGGTTGTAGAAAAATCTACAATCAGATCATCATGAGGCAATTTTATTTCAGTAACTTCATCAATTATTTTCAAGTGTTTTAAGAATTAAGTACCTGCTTTTTTTGCCTGTCACATTCTAAATATTCCTAAAGAAATTAAGACAAATAATTGGATGCACTATATATAACATTACTTACACCATAGTTTTTAAGGAAGACAAGGATCTAAAACACATTTAGGTTCTATCACTTGTGTGAGCCCACCAACAAGTGAGGTAACCTCCCTTAGGTTCAAGGGCTTCATCTGTAAAGATGGATGACAGAACCTACCTCGGAAGCAATGAAACTGATCAGACTATCTAGACAGTACCTAGCACAGTGTCTGGTGAATAGTCAGTTTTTAATTAATAGTAATGCTTATTATTGCTGGAGGACTTGAATGTTTTTATTCTGGCTTAAAGGGAACTTTTCTGAATCTGTATATTTACTAAAAGTATCCTAAGAAAACACCACATGTACCATAGAATTTGACTGATCCACAGTAAATATGACTATCTTTATCACATCACTCCATTGATTTGACTTTCTGTAGCAACATTGTAAGAGCGGATGTCATTTTACTAAACTGGTGCAAAAGACACACTTATGCCTGCAAATTCTGTTTGCAAACTCCACTAAGAAACGACAGCTATTCCCAGAACATTTCTTGTCCTCTTCCTGCCTTACCCTTATAGAGAAAATACAAAAAATGGTTCTGAAGCAATGAAGTGGAAATTGGTTGAGAGACCTCCTTCCCAAGCCTCAATTGTTTTTCTCTTTCAAAGCACTGTCCCTCCAGAATAAGCCACTTCTCACATGTAAGAGTTTAGCAGCTCTTCAGAAGTCAGCTCTATTAATTACAGACATTCTTGAATGCAGTTTTGCTTTCTTTTTCCCTTCTGATGTATTAAATTTGCTGTCAGAAATTAATTCAGAAAGGAATAACCAAATACCTCCCAATTAAATCAGCTGTTAAACACTGCTTGGAATATAATTTTTTGTTGCTAATACTGGACTACCAACCTACAAAGTTGACTGACTTGTTATTTAAGAGGACGCTGGGCATTAATATTGTACAACTGCATAGGCCTTTCCATAAAAAATAGAAACTCTATTACTGGTTTATATTATAATAAAAATGCTTAGATGTTAAAATTAGAATACTCTCCCTTCAGTGTTCATATACCAGTTTGTGTCTGTAAACAGCAAGAAATGAATGTTTTAAGATCTGCCTATCAAACAAGAATTTAAAATGTCATATAACTGATTTATATTACAATTAAAAACTTAGATGCTAAAAATAGAAAAATATCCTTGCAGAATTTATGTACCACTTCGTATCTGTAAACAATAAGAAACAAATGGTTTAGGATTCATCTATAAAAGAATTTAAAATGTCCGGGGCAGAGAGCAATTAATCTTTTTAAATAAAAATAATAACAATAAGACTTCAACTCATAAAATTATTACAACCAGAAAATTTTAAGAGTGAAAGAAATCATACGTATCACCTCATCTATTTTTCTACCACAGGGAAGCACTTTATGACAGATGAAAGTCTGTTCTATCTTGCACCAGAATTATAGATTTGCAATCAGGTAATAATATCTGCAATTATTTACAAGAGTGGCATCTCATTATGTAGTTAATATTAAATCCTCTTCTTGGTTGTAAAGTCTCTCAAGCTCTCTCCAATGACTTCATGGGTGCAACACAAGAGCTTCCATCAGATGGAGGAGGGTTTGCTGCTGGCACCTCAGGTTTTTATAAGGTGTTTGCACTGTATTGAAATCTATTTCTTCATAATGACACTGTCTTTTGATGCTTCACTTTTGCATATGAAGCTGAAGGAGGGAATATGAAGTTCTTTGTTACTGTGATACGAGTATCAGTCTTTCCCAGCACTCTCAAGTCTACGCACACAAAAGCCAAGAAGCCTCTTAAAAGAGGGTGATTTATGAACTTGTAAAACCCAAGTCAATCAATATGTAATGAAGTAAAGAGAAAAAGAAAGAAAAGCAGGCAGGTGTGACAGAATGCTTGGTCGATGGCAATCACTGACATGCCTGGATTGAAAGCATTCAGTTCACTTGCTAAGACCTCCAATTCTGATAAACACTGATTGATGAGTGAGAGACATATTTCAGATTGCACGTGCCTCTGCGTTTTCCTTCTCCTAAGTCACAGGTGGTGAGTCTGTACACACAAACACAGGCTGCCTTATCACAATCTTCCATTCTCCTTCTGATCATCGTTGCCATCTCAATTACTCCCTGCAAGTTCATCTGAGGTAATGACGTCTGTTTCCAGAGTGATGCAGCTGTCAAAATGTTACCATATTTCATGAACAAAACGCAGGTACTTTAACTTACTTTTAAATAACAAATAAGTGTTTTAAAATGGCCACCCCAACCTTAAAATTTACCCTTAAATGTTATAAATATTAAAATGCTGAAATTTAGATGGCCAATTTGTGATGGACCACAGAATTCAGATGTTAGAATATTGGATTCTAGCCCTACTTAGTTATGTGATCGTAGGTAATCCATTCACTTTCTCCGAACCTCAATCTATCTGTAAGATTAAACCAGATTCATTCTAAAGTTTCTTCCAGCCCTAAAGTTCCATGATTCTTATATCTTTTTTGGATCATTAATGTAGCTATGTGTTTGGAATTTATTCTGCCCCTTGGGAATTGTCTGTATGGGCCAGGTAGTTTTAACAGAAACTATATGCCTTACTAAAATACATGTGAGTGTGTCATTTTGATATATTAAGTTTTGAAATCTTATGTTTGAATTCCAAGTACTGTTCCCATCAATTGCTTCTTTCTCTTTTTCCAATATCTACTATTTTCTACAATGACAATATAAACAAAGAAAATTGGGGGTAACTTTAAAATAAATTTAAAATTGTTTTCTTAATGTTTGCATTCTCAAAGTGCTGATGGGTGGCAAGTACAGGGTAAATTTTTCTGCACAGATTTAGTCAAAGCGTAAACTTTCATGCATTCTAGCAATACAGATATGGTATTTATAACACCTGACAGCTATTCTAGTAATCTTTCTCCAACATCCATTACCTTTCGTATTTACATCTTTCTTTTGGCAATTCCAAACTGGAGGAAAAGTATGCAGAGGGTAATGCCATCTGTATGAGACATGAAATCTAGTGTGAGATGTGTTGATTCAAATACTAAAAATGATATACTCTTCCAATTCATTTTATCTGATTTTTGCAACTGATACATGAGAGTATGAGATATAAATGCAGCCATTCCTGCAAAAAATAGTCTTCAAAGATGAATTTAAAACATAGCTCTCTTTTCTGTGGGTGAAAGAAAATGTTTGCATAGTAAGACTGAGGGAAAAAGGAAAGATGAGGGCAATAGGAAGATAACTCCTTTTGAAAGATGAATCCTCTATGGGGAAACCATTTTAATCATTTCTTTTAAATACTTCTTAAATGTTCATTTAAATGTTATTCTTATTTAATTTTAAAGTTATTATCTACATGAACTTGCTTTTTTTGAGACAGGGTCTTGCTGTGTTACCCAGACTAGAGTACAGTAGCCATTCACAGGTAGGAGCACAGCACACTACAGCCTCAAACTCCTGGACTCAAGGGATTCTCTAGCGTCAGCCTACTGAGTAGCTGCAACAACAGGCTCATGCCACAATGCCCTAAGAACTTGCATTTTTTAATGGAAAGGGATCTAGTTCATTTTTAGGAGGTAATCTGAAACTTGAAATCAGAAGCTTGAATATAAAAAAAAAAAAAAAAACAGGTGAACCTAAACATCTTACAATAGGCAGACTTCCGCAAAGAAGTCAGCCATAATACAGAGTTGAGTTTGCCAGCAAATGTTCGTCAATGCCTAACAACTGGTAATGCTTGGTAGGAAGACAGACTTGCTCTCTCTTTTATAGAGGAAATTGAAAAATGACTCCCTTCTGATTTGGAAGGGATAGTCACAGAAGTTTAAGTTACCAACACAGAGGTATCCCATGTGTCTGTAATCTTTCTTCACGCTTCTGCCAGGTGGAAAAAATGAGGAAAGAGTGAAAACGTGCGGTGAATTACTTCAGCAGTTGCAGAAGAGGCATGTCACACCAAGCAAGAGCAAAAGAGGACAAAAAGGAGCAGGGATTCGGGAGCCCTACAAAAGTAAAAAAAAAAAAAAGACATGGTTTCAAGGCTCAGCCATGTACCCAAAGTTAAGGCAGATACAGGTTCAGGTAAGGCAAGAGCCTTCTATATTTTGCCACTGTGTGTGAGCTCAAGGTCCACCCTGCTAACCTACCCAACACACTCACCTATATTCCTGACTACACTCATTCAGCTCCACATTAGGAGCCTAATTCCACAGCCACACCCCAGACCCTTGTCATTCCTTGGAACTGCCACGTCGCTGGAATCACTGAGACATCCCAACCTCTCTAGTAATTTCCAATCCTTCTGTCTCTCCAATTCCCTTAGAGCTCCCTCTAAACTGGTTCACTTTCACCAAGAGTTCTAGTCCTTTGACCTGTGACAAATGTATCAGTCTTAGTTTCATTTCTTTCTCCACCTAGTTTTCCTTAATATTCCTATTCATGAGCATCTTAAATTACATCATTTCATGTTCTTCTGACTCACATCTCTTGACAACCTGCAACTCTCAGTAACCTCTATGTTTTGTTTTCTGTAGTACCCAGGTTGCTGTGGACTACAGGAAGTTCCATATAACAGTGTGATGTATGTGTTCTAATATATGAGCTCTAACCCCAACACAGCCCCTGGTGCTGCCTGGTAAGCCTTGTACTTACATTTGGCATACTTGCTGCCACATTGTCTACTCCAAACCTTCATCAATTTCCTTAGAATCTCTACCTTTTCCACAATCATGTCAGTCTAGCCTAGCTGCCTACTTAATCAGTTGGAAAGTCTCTCACCTTCTTCCTTCTTCTCCTCCTCCCCCTGCTGAAATGATCCATATCCCCTCTTTGTCTTAGAGCAAATAGTTCCCCTTTTCCAGTCCAAGGTATACCAGCTGCACACTGTCTTAATCCTTTTCCTGTCCTGTTTCTTTGAAGAATTTTTCTCATTTAATTATCCCTCCTCTCCTACATTTTCATCTGCTCCCTTTTCAGTGCATGGTGCACAACTCATGGGGCACCACTCAGGAGACAATGCATCTGAAGCTCAGGCTCCTGTTTCTACCAGCCCTCTCCTCTCTGCCTACATGCATATTTGTTTTCCTCGTAGCCTCTTAAAAACCTTCCTGGGCCCAACTTTCTCCTTAAGCTTCAACTTCAACCACCTCCCCTTTCCTTTACTGCCAAACTTCTTAAAAGAGTATTCAGTACTTGCTGCCTCCACCTCCCTCTTCACTCCATCCACTGCCATCTGGCAGAGGTCCCTCCCCACATCCATTGAAATTGCTCAGTCG
Organism: Homo sapiens; assembly: GCF_000001405.40. Lineage (NCBI taxonomy): Eukaryota > Metazoa > Chordata > Mammalia > Primates > Hominidae > Homo > Homo sapiens. The sequence goes on along the minus strand of NW_013171808.1, from coordinate 13,768 downwards.
ACAGTCAGTCATGGCATCCTAACTGCCAAGTCCAATGGCCTCTTTCAGCGTTCATCCACTTCCTCATCCTTAATCACCCTGCTGACAGGAGATGAGAGTGACGCATGCTTTCATTCTTGAAAATCTGATTCTTTGGCTTCCATGACACTCCCCTCCCCTGGGTCTTCCCCCATTGCGCAGATGGTTCTTTCTCTGATTCCTTTTCCTCTGCCCATTTCTTAAACCTGAATGTTCAAGTTCTATCCTCAACTATCATCTTTTCTTACTCTAAAGCAGGGGTTGCAAACTACAGCTCACTGGCCAAATCCAGCCAGTAGCCAGTTTTTGCAAATAAAGTTTTATTCAAACATAACCATGCCCCTTCATTCATATATTGTTTATGGCTGCTTTCAAGCTACAAAGGCAGAGTTGAATAGTTGTAATAGACACAGTGTGGCCCACAAAGGCTAAAATATTTACTGTCTGATCCTTTATAGAAAATGTTGGACAATCCCTCTCCAGAGAGCTTGCATAATGGCTCCCAAAGGGTGGTCCCAGAGCAGCAGCATTGACATTATCTAGGAATTTGTGTGATATACATTCTTTTTTATTATACTTTAAGTTCTGGGGTACATATGCAGAATGTGCAGGTTTGTTACATAGGTATACATGTGCCATGGTGGTTTGCTGCACCCATCAACCTGCCATCTACATTAGGTATTTCTCCTAATGCTGTTCCTCCCCTAGCCCGCCACCCCCCGACAGGCCCCGGTATGTGATATTCCCCTCCCTGTGTCCATGTGTTCTCATTATTCAACTCCCACTTATGAGTGAGAACATGCGATGTTTGGTTTTCTATTCTTGTGTTAGTTTGCTGAGAATGCTGGTTTCCAGCATCATCCATTTCCCTGAAAAGGACATGAACTCATCCTTTTTTTATGGCTGCATAGTATTCCATGGTGTATATGTGCCACATTTTCTTTATACAGTCTATCATTCATGGGCATTTGGGTTGGTTCCAGGTCTTTGCTATTGTGAACAGTGCTGCAATAACACATGTGTGCATGTATCTTTATAGTAGAATGATTTATAATCCTTTGGGTATATACCCAGTAATGGGATTACTGGGTCAGATGGTATTTCTAGTTCTAGATCCTTGAGGAATCACCACACTGTCTTCCACAATGGTTGAACTAATTTACACTCCTACCAAGAGTGTAAAAGCGTTCCTATTTCTCCACATCCTCTCCAACATCTGTTGTTTCCTGACTTTTTAATGATCGCTATTCTAACTGGTGTGAGATGATGCTCATCATCACTGGTCATTAGAGAAATGCAAATCAAAACCACAATGTGATATACAATTTTTAAGCCCCACCGTAAGCCTACTAAATCAGAAATTATGAGACTAGGTATAGGAATCTATGTTTTAACAAATGCTTCAAGTGATTCTGATGCTCATTAAAGTTTGAGAATTACTGGTCTATACAATCACCCTGGACAATCCCCAGGACTTTAGGTACCACCGATGCATGCACTGGTGACTCCTGATTAAAGCTCTACTGTGCTTGCTGTAAATTAGTATTTCCAACTACCAGATATTTCTACCTGCAAGCTCTTTTAGTCATTCAGCAAAACCTTTCTCAATACCTTTTATAGGGTAAGCTGTGATCTGTGCAAGAGCCAAGTTGCCAGATAAAATATGTCTCGTGCAACATTTGGGACATACTTGTGCTAAAGAATTAGTTGTTGTTTTTCAAATTTAACTGGGAGTCCGGATTTTTATGTACTCAATCTAGCAATCCCATAAAAGGGTTATAAAAGGAGGACTGAAAGGGTTTCTGCCCAAAAGAAGCACAAAGTTCAGCCAGGGAACCAATGACATAAACACAGTAAAAGAAAATATGATAATCTCAAAATCTCACCTTTCAAAAATTTACCTCCCTGTTCTGATGTTATTTAACAGCTGCACGGTCTTTGTGAGTTAAGCTACTTCAAAGTTCTCTTCTAAATACCCACACAAAAAAGAGATTCTGACTCTGGAGTTGAGGAAAGAGTGGTAAGGCAGAGAGTAACATTCTAATCAGGCGTGCATATAAGAAATGGACTAGAATATGAATCATAATGAATAATAAGAAAGACATTAAATTTATTCGGATGTTCTTTTCCTTAAATTTTGATCTTTATCAATTGTTATATGCAAAGAGTAATAACATAGTTGAAGCTTTCTATTTTAAAATATTTTAATAAAGATTGGTTCCATTGTTTAAAAATGATACCCAAATCAAAATTTCATGGTTTGGAATCTGGATCTAAAACTAAAGTCCTTGGCTTATGGTTCAAACTCCAGACCACAAACCAAAGTACTGTGGCTCATCTGGTAGCATTTTATCCTATTATCAGGACAAGGATCCAGGGAGAACTCTAACATTACATTTGCAAACACTGATGACAAGAGTCAGTGTGAAGCATTCTATTAACCAGTATGCTTTGTAACAAGAAAGCAGATTGCTAGAACAATAAATTTGGCAGGATGCAAAATATTTAACCTATTAATTTTTTTAAAGTTTTCTGAAAGTTTTCTATTTAGGAAAAAGACAAGTTTCTAAAACATAAAGCAAGTCTTTTTTTTTTAAATCAAGGCTTTCAACAAAAAACATTTCCATCTAACTCTGAGGAAATTCATTTTTAAAACTTTTCCCAAAAGCCCCAAAAGAAAACTTAACTGCTATTATAATTCACCGACGCCTGCACACATTCAATTGAATCATCTGTGGTAATGGAAACAATGACAGCAGAGACAAATGAAATTCAGACTTTATCTCAATTTAGCTAATACATACTCTTTAACTTTGTCTCCCCTTTTCATTTTATTCAATATTGGTTGATTTCAATTCAACAGCTCTTGTACTCAACACTTGTTTAGGTGGAAAAAAGAAGACAATAGGAAACAGGCAGCTGCCAGGCACTAGGATAATCTACAAATTCAATACAACTATTACCCAATTTTACATTTCTAGCATTGTTTCATAATCCCAAATGTACAACTCATAAATTATACTTGTTTCTTTACAAAAAATAACTTGCAAAGTTTAAGTGAAAGATTTTACCACAATTAAAAAAAAAACAGTCCTCCGAAAAGTACACATTTTTTTCCCTGGAACACATCCACTAAATAAAATAACATTTCCTTCTAATTGTTCCTTGGATAAATACGAATTGCCAGGATAGATCAAGAGCATCAAGCTCAGAACTCTGACTCCTTAAGTAGTAGTTACTGAATAATAATCCATGCCCAGCTCCTATATCAGGATGTGCCAGCACTGAATATAAGTCCTATTTCCAGGGGTGACCATAAGATTCAGATACGAAACCAATTCCCTGGTAGTTCAGAAACACACTTTCATGTATGAACAAGCAGAACACATGAACTACAGCAATATCAATTTTTCTTTCTTGATAATTGCCTATAGGTCTCATTTCATCCACAGATCTTAAACTCCTTGAGGTCAAGAACAGTGATTTATTTATCTCCTTGACCTCCTAGCACCCAGCAAGCTGCCTCAGTATAATAGGCTCCTGAGAACATTTATGAGTCAGTGAAGAACAGCATAGGAGATGAAAGATCCTACCAAAAAAAAGGTGGTTCTAAGCTTTTACTTTAAAAATTGCACTTAAGTTGCCATACAAATATTTTTCCCCTATTTTAACCACTAGTAGTTTTCTGTTGTCCTTTATTAAGATTGTGAAGGATTAATGCCTCTCAGCAGAATTCAAGAAAACCTGTCTTTATCAGATGTCTGAGTCCCTTACCATCAGTAGACAGGTAAGACACTTTGGAAAGGTCTGTTTTATAAAAGTCTAAAGCAGCATCTTTAAAGAATTTTGTGTTTGATTCGATACCTTAATCCAGGATTGTGTTCTTAATCCTTGAAAAGAGTCAAATCCTCATCCTAGAGTTCTCAATGTTAAACACAATAGTTGCTCAAATCACCTTTGCCATCAATGTCATCATTCTATTTCTTAATGTGTAGGAGATCACGGTGTAAGATGAATGTCCTTCTTTCTGGTTCCTAAGCTTTCTTATATCAAGTGTAAGAGTGTAAAGTGTGCTTTCCTTGAGTTAGCAGTGATTTTAGCCAAACTCTTAGTGCAGACTCAGTGTCTTGACAGCTTTGTATCTACAGGTGTGTAAAAATAACTCCACTGTGCCAAAATAATATAAAGAGAATAATTACTCAATTAGTTAACCATTTAAAACATGGCAAGTTTCTCAAACTTCAAAAGGCTCATTCAAATGGGATTTTTTTTAATTTTACTTTTACAAGCATATTTTAAAATAAAAACATCTATCAGACTAATGACTGATAAATAAATAATACCCTTTAACTAAGCAAATGAAACACCAGCAACATTCTGTATTCGTTAAAGGTAGTTGATTCTTACTGAATTAAAATTGGACCCCTCCACCTTCAGTAACTATTAATACATCTGCTCAATCAGATGAAATCAAATTTGAATTACAGAAAATTTAATTTTAAAATAAGTATTACATGAACATTTACCAGCACAGACCCATTTTCTGTGAAATATCTTTAAGAACTCATCACAGATGCAGGTAAATAAAATATCTATCTAAAAACAGAGTATTTTGCAATCATAAAAATACTTGAAACAGCAAAGAAACACATCACAAATGAGCTTTTGCAATACTGTCTTGGCATATAATTAAGTGTATCTTTTAAATATGAGTACTCCATTTGCTGAGGTGCCTGCAATGCTAAGAAGCAAAAGAGAGTTGCAAGGAGATCCTGAAATGAAAAGCCTTACTCACAAGGAGGAGCTCCCAAGAAGGAGCTGTTAAGCTCAGGAGCCTCAGATAGAAAGTCCAAAGCTAACAAAGAGTTAAACACCCAGGATAGCTCAGTAATGAATGCTTAGTAAGTTTGGCCAACGAATATCAAGTAGATACCAGGGCTAGAGCAACTGCTAAAGGGATGACCTCCTTGAATCTCATTTGCATAGCAATGAGATGTCACAAAGGCATTAAGTCTGAAACTGCAATGCTGTTTCTAATCCATGCTTTATTTTGTTGTGACATTAAGCAAACTGCTTTACAAAGTAAAAACAGAAATGATTCCAGCAATGTGGCAGGAAGGGGGGCATGGGGGGGATTCTACAAGGATGTGGATTATAAAATAGACTGGAAAACAGTTCTGCAAAAAGCTACTGAGTAACTGAGCAAAACCAGCTGAAAAGAACAATAAAATAATAACTTCCCAGGACATTTCCAAAAATGAGACCAGGTAAGTAAGTTGCTGGCTTTTGTCAATGGATATGTATTATTTGAGCCAAGAATAATGCATGTCTACTCACAACAGACAAAACAATATGTCAATAAAATGAGCCAAACTCACTCAAAATGTATCTGTTACAACCTTAGGCTGTATAGGCTGTTGTCTACATTGATGCAAAAACCTTCAATTACAGTTTGGGATTTGGTTTTTTGGGTTTTTTTTTTTTGGGGGGGTTTCATTTTGTTTCAAGTAATTGTGCTTGCAAGTATTACTATTAGTTACTACTAAGGGAGAGTGGGGGCTTTTACCTCTACCATGGAAGAATGCAACTTCTTTTAAATACACTGGATTAAATTACACATACAGCCATGGCTGCAAAAGAACAAGAAAAAACAGCATTGTAAGTCAAGCTTTTGTGTTACAAGCAGTTACAAACTGAAAAGACATTCAAGAAAATCTTGAATATTCAAGTTCTATCTGTATTTTTAAAAAAGGAGAAGAAAAGGAAAATGTTTCCAAGCTTTAAATGTCACAAGTTCACTTCTTTCCTAGAGTCTTATACATCAAATTCAAACTCAGTCACAGTACAATTAAATGAAAAAAATGTAAAACTAAAAAACCTCCTTGAACATGCACCTTATCCAGTTAGTTGTTTCACTGCAGTAATTGCCAAAGGACATAAAGATATCTGCTCATTTCTGTCATAAAGACAGGCAAAATGAAAGTGAACTTTTAGCTGCCTATTACTCAAATTCCTGAACCATCTTTCGAAAGGCATAAAAAATAACTCTTACCTTAGTGATTCTGATAGAACCTCAGGTTATTCACCAGACATTATGAATCTACTTCAGGCAATGAAATTAATATTTCAGTAAGTCCTCTTCCATGAAACAGGAAGCCTTTTAGTAATGACCTTGGACCAGATAATAGGAAAGGCAAGAAAAGCTGGGTCCAAAGCCAGAGGGTAATTGTGATTCAAAGACTCTTTTATGCAAATAAGACCCCTAATCAAGTTAATGCCGTTTTCTACATTTTATCTTCCATCTTTTTATTTACATTCAGCTGAGAAGCCAAAATCAGAAAACAGTAGATTTCCAACTTCCTAATTCAACCTCTCCTGTGCAAGCACAGCCATAGGGAACTGCATAACAGTCATTCAGAATCTTATAATAGCCCATTCCCAGGAGTAACATGACATGGACTCAAAGCAATTCTGAAGTTAGTTCCAGCAAGTGATAAATTACTCAGGCAGGGGGCAATAACCCACATTTATTGGGCACTGGTTAACTTTTCCACTTCCTTTTGTGGAGTCAGAGAGCCTGGAAAGGAAAAGTCATTTTCAAGAGGGAGCATCTGCACTGTTGACTCAGGAGATGCTCCATTTGCTTTCTGCTTCCTAGGTGCACACTCAAGTTTTAGAAACTCAAACCATATTTGCCATGCACGTGCAGATGTTTGAAGGGGTACTACAACCTGGAGAAGCTGGATGATTCTCCAGGATCACTATAGGATCACTATGAGTAAGGCTGAAGACAGGCCAGAAACCCAGAATCCAGTAAGAAAATAAATAGCAGTTGGCCCAGGGGGCTCTTTTAGGCAGAGGGGTAAAGAGCACAGGTTGTAGAGTTAGGATCCTATTCTGACACCTCCTGAACAATGTTACCTTGGGCAAGTCACTTAGAAGCTCTATGCCTCAATTTCTTTAGTAGAGAAATACCAATTTCTTTTGGTAGAGATAATAATAGTATTTGCCTCATAGAGTTGTTGGGGGATAAATGAGATAATACATGTAAAGCTCTCAGCAATGTTAGTTGTTATTAACAAACGCAAAAATGAATGAAAAGTTGCAAATGGCAAAGTTACAAACGAATGCACGTTACTGTTATTAATATTGTCAAGAACTCTTTTTTGATAGTCTACTATCAATTCAATACCAACTGACCAGCAGGAAGTTTAGAAGTACTCTGTTTTTTTCAGGATTCTTTATCCACATTCTTTTTTTCTCAAGTTTCCCACATAAACTTTATCATCTCTATGGTAAAAATAAGATAACAGAAACAGCCCTTCATAATTAAACACATGCATAGTATTTGTTCTCATTACTATTATTATTTAAATAATTTAGGGCAGTATAGTTCTGTGCAGGCTTCTCAAACTTGGATTGACAGCAGTTACAATAATGATTCCTAAAGTTCCTAGGTAAACAAAGATGAAATCTGGAGCATGAGCCCTTTCCCCATCTGTAACAGCCCCAGGCCACCCTAAGTAAGCATGCAATCTAAGCAAAAACAAAAAACAAAACAAACAAACAAAACCTGCTTGCTATACAAACGAAATTTCAAGATACCCTCAGTTCCTCTTCCAACCAGATTGCCCCCTCCGATTCCCTATGTGGACATTCCAGAGGTGTCTCTGAGTATATACTGGGAGCAACTTTTGGGTGGTCAATTTTACTTAAAGATTTAGGGGAGAAAATTTAAGTGCTTTGATGACTAAGTAAGTTAATATGTTTCACATTTAAACAAGCACATTATGGAACAGACTGTAAAATTAGCATAATTTTTGAAGAAAAATACTCAGCCCTCAAAGAAATCCACCTGATACTCATGTTCTATCTTTGGGCCCACACCCAGATTCTGAGAATATGAAACCCTCCTCCTTTCCCAGTATGGGGGCTGCTACTCTTGATGTTATTATCAACAAGAGCTTTAGATTCAAATCCCAACCCTGCCAATTAAGGCCTATGACCTTGTTTCTGCTCCTAACCCTATCTTTGTCACCTGTGAAATGATGATATTAATATCTACTTCATAGGACATGGGTGATGCCAGAACAAAAGTGCGTATGCAAAGAGTATGATAAAGTAGATACTCAATAAATCATAGCTATTTTCTTCTTTCCCCACACCACATTCCCATTTCCTACATCTTATTCAGGATCTCAGATAGTAATACTCAGAACTCCACCAAATACCACCTATAATTTCTCTTCAAGATGCTAAATTATTCTACCATCCAAAATCTACAATATCTCATTCATTCATTGGACCAGTATTCACTGAGTATTTTTTGGAAGGACTGTCTATGAGTGAAAGGGCTCAAGAGGCAAGAAAGTGTGTGTGAATACACTATTTCAGGTCACCATTCACAGATGACAGGTCTTCTGTGACACCAAAGGCTATAAAGCCTTCTCGTTTGGAAGAAGGAGGGCAGCAACATTAAAACATGCTGGAATTCCAGGTAACTCCAAAGTGGTATAATATTCTCACCAGTGTTCACTAGGATACTGGGGTCCACATTTAGTTCTCATCAGGGATATTAATAATGATTAAAAGTTATATAAAAGTCCAAGAAAAATAAGGGAAAAGTCCCTAGTCCCAAACAAAGGAGAGTCACCAAGTAGAAACTGTTCGAAATTGGTCACCAGTGTATCATCTACACAGCTTGCCTGTTTACTATCCAGTTGAATGGTAACATCGATCATACCATTTACACTCAGCACTCACAGACTGCTCCAGCCTGCCCGGAAATCTGCATGGAAGCAAAGGATCAAAATACCCTTTCATCTAAAGAACTGTGAATTAACTCTCTGCCTTTTTAATTACTCTCAATTACTTTCCCACTATTTATAAGGATTTTTTCTTTTGCATAACAAAATCCAACTCTAATCAATATATGCAGTATATCCCAGCTGATTAGTATAATTCTTGCTCCACCATGATGCTGGAATTGTGCCAACCTTACCTTACACACAATTAAATGTCTGGTAATGCCTGCTGCTACCCAGCAGGCCTCATGAGTTAATAGGGAAAAAACGGGATTTACATTTGCCTCTATCAGCCCCTATGTGCCCTTGCTCCCTCTCATCTGCTTATAGACATGTACAAAGTATGCCTGGAGAAATAAAGGCCTAAAACAATCACACAAAACTAAAAGGCATGGGAGCATGAAAAAAGGATCTCCAAAGTCTAACTCGTCATCTTCCCATTTCAGTAAATCTCGCCAGAAATAAGATATCCCTTTTCCTACCCAAGATCCCAACACTGAACTGTGAGCAAATTTTAAGTACAAGAAAGATTCAGGGATATAGACTCCAATATTATGAATTATGTGCAGTGTACCTCCGAGCCAATTTTTAATAAACACAGATCACTTAATAAGAAATTAAGAGCATTACACATTTCTCATGCTCCTGTGGATTTGGTGTTAATGAGATTTTGTTTGTTAAACTCACAGAATAACAAAGTGTCTAAAAGACAGACACAGCCTTTTCCAATTTCTATTCATTCAGGAAATAGTCATTGAATATTTTTTGTAGTAGGACATTCCCAAGACACGCACCTGCTCACGTGTTGATTTCACCAGCCTGCCCCTCAAATAATGAATATAGTGCAGTGTAATTGAACAAAAAAAAAGGAGAGGGGGATTTAAATTTTACAAGACTTGCATTTTTATCTATTCCATTATGAACTGTCACATTACTTCATACATTCGCTTTACATAGACAAGCATTATTATGTACCAGAAACTGTACCTCCAACTTTTAAAGAAAGATCTTCTTGCCCACAATGGTCACTATGGAGTGACCCATACCCCAGTGGGCATCTGGGCCTCAGAATATACTGGAAAGACTCAATCCCTTATGAGGTGTGTTGACTGTAACTTAGTGTAATAATAGTTACAGCACAGGTGTTTATGAATAATTTAATTTTTAAATAGAATTGAGAAAGGCTCCAAGGATTCTTATAATAATAACATTCTTACTTATGTGTTCTATGCTTTCTTGAGACACAAAGAACTCAGCACTGAGATATGCTCCTACCTCCCAGTCTATTTTACCTTCGACTGTGAACATCAAACGCCATGCAAATGTACTATTAGGTACATAACACCCTTATCATACATTCCTTGAAGACAAAGTGATGCTACTGAAAGGCGGCTGGACACCTGGATGCATCCAACATGCCCTCTTGATGTGTTCCCAACACTTGCTTAGAACATACAGGAAAGATCCAGAGCTTGAGCAGATCAGCCAATAAAGAGCATGTGTATTTATGCCTAGAGGATCTTTCCTCCAACTGTGAAATGTGGACCTCAGAAGTAATATATCTTTGCAGTACCAGAATCATAACGCAGTCTTAATAGCTCAAAGAGATATTTTTCAATATTTGGTCATAGATGGTCAATTGTGGAAGTCCATAATCACTAACCAAGTTGAACATAAACAAATAGAGTCATTCAATTTTAAATATTAAATACCAGCAAGATATAGCAATAAGAGTGGGAGACCAAAGGTTAATATGTTATCCCACTGAGCCCAGGGAATGATGGCCTATGGGAGAAAGAGACACCCGCGCAGGTAATTTCATTACAAGGCATGTGAACAGTGCTGCAATAATACCACAAAGTGTAGGGGGACCTGAGTGCAGAGATATGAAGAGACCATATAAGAGGTCAGGTGTAAGCAATACCTTCAGGACGGCATGGAGCTGCAACCAGTGACTACAGGAACTAGAGAGGGTTGGGAGAGATAAAGGGGCCAAGAAGTACCAAAGAGAGAAAAAGGCAGAGGGGCTGCAGAAGACAAGAGGCCCTGAGAGATGAGGGGAACTTCTCTGGATGCTCCAAAGGCTAGAAATGGGAGTGTCAGCAAAAGTACTGACATTGTCAGAGGTATGATTCTGGGTTGGACTGGCCTGGCCCTTCTGTCCAGAATTTTTTTTTTTTTTTTGAGAGATGGAGTCTTGCTCTGCCACCCAGGCTGGAGTGCAGTGGCGCAATCTTAGCTCACTGCAACCTCTGCCTCCTAGGTTGAAGCGATTCTCCTGCCTCAGCTTCCCAAGTAGCTGGGACTACAGGCATGTGCCACCACGCCCAGCTAATTTTTTTTTTTTTTTTTTTGAGACGGAGTCTCACTGTTGTCACCCAGGCTGGAGTTCAATGGCACAATCTCGGCTCATTGCAACCTCCGTCTCCTGGGTTCAAGAGATTCTCCTGTCTCAGTCTCCTGAGTAGCTGGGATTACAGGCACCCACCACCACACCTGGCTAATTTTTATATTTTTAGTAGAGATACGGTTTCACCATGTTGGTCAGGCTGATCTTGAACTCCTGACCTTGTGATCCACTGGTCTCGGCCTCCCAAAATGCTGGGATTACAGGCATGAGCCACCGTGCCTGGCAATTTTTGTATTTTTTAGTAGAGACGGAGTTTCACTATATGTTGGCCAGGCAGGTCTCGAACTGCTGACCTCAGGTGATCTGCCTGCCTCAGCCTCCCAAAGTGCTGGGATTACAGGCGTGAGCCACCACTCCTGGCCCAGAAATTCTTAAACTTTAACATTTCCTCAACATCTCCATAAACTAGGTGGACATTTCTGTTTTTTCTCATTCTAGTTCCATCTTCTCCCTTTATTTTCCCCTCTGATGCCACTTCTCGTCAAAGCAGTACTGAGGGAGAAGGTCAAACTCTTTCATTTTATTATATATTTGAACAAAAACGTATTTCCAATATGTATACACTCTTGCATCTCTTTGAGAAATTTAATATACAAAATCTAAACTTAAAAAACAGATAAATGTAAGAGAGACAAATTGTTATTTACTTTATAAAAATAATTTGCCACATCTGTTTAAATAAAGAGTGTATTTTCCCTAGTTGAAAGCATTTAAGATGTGATTTGTTTTGAAAAATGTCATTTACACTCAATGTTTAAAAACATATCTATTGTATAAAGAACAATCTAGGTTTATTCACTTGGATTATTATAGTAACCACTGATGAGCTGTATGAAAGTGATAAATCTCAAAATACCTGCATCTCCCTCTTTCTCTTTGGATATGAGGTAAAATATGTTATTAATACTACCTATTTAACAAAAATATGCAGAATGTAAACTGAACACAACATGTGCACTGCTGAATACAACTTAGGAATAAAGTGATTATTGCAAGTTATTACACTTACAAAATGTACACTTCCAAATAAAAGAAGATTATCTAATTATCGTATAATTCAACAAGATCTAGGGAATTGATCTGGCAATATAATATGTTTTGTCTTACATTTCCCATTCAATTGTTCAATTGCCTAGATTGCCCAATTTCCTCATTGTAGCAGTTGTCTTCTGAATATAAATATAAGTCCCATTGTTAATCCAGGGACTTCCAAGCAGATGATGTCACTTCAGTTCACCATCTTACTGACTTAGGATCACACATACATTACGACTTATACCTATTTAGCTGAACATCACTCAGGTGAGGAAGCTAACTTTTGAAGGGTCAGACACCACATTTATTTAATATGCTCCATGAAAAAATTAGTCCAAGATAATAGTAGCACTCTTAGTATACTTTGCCAACAATGACACGGGCCTGAAGAACCCAGCACATGCCACCAAAACGACCAACGATGTAATGTGTACTTAGTTCAACCAGACTGTGAATGATCTGCTATGTCTACAGGAAAGATGGAACGCTAGATTACTTTAAATAGCTCTGACTTAGAGAACATACCTATGAAGATGAGGAATTAAAAAATCTTATAAAGTAGCTGTTCACATTAGTACCAGTATAGGAGACAGCCAAAATCTAAGTTATAAACAGGTAATGAAAAATCCTCAAGGACTAACTGAACCATGTTTCTCCCTACCTCACTTGTCAACATTCCCAAGTTCTCTCTTTACTAACTGCAGTTCTTTCAGGCACTTATAATCATCAAATGCAGTTCAAAAAGAAATATATCCAACAACAAGAATATTAAAAAAGAATTTCAGTCTTCTGTATGATTAGAAACTGTTTCAGCCCAACAGTCAGGAATAAAAAGGATTTAAACTAATAAACCATTAACTGAAAAACTGAGAGAGATGTAGAGAAATGTGAATTTAAATGTAAATTCTGCCATCAGGTAAATATAATATAAAGCTAGTAGTTATAAAGAGGAAGTTACTCTAATTACTTCTAAGTTGCTAGGCCAAAAATTCCACAATAATAATTCTACCTCCCAATTGTTGTTTTTCAGAGGTACTGAGTTTTGCCTAGTGCTTTGGTGATGCTTCATAATGTTTACAAGACACCATGCGTCCACTCCATGGAAATAATCATCAATGAGAGAAGCAACATCATCCTAATCAGTTGCACAGTTAAACAAAAAAAAAAAAAAAAAAAAAAAAAACGACATCACTGAAGTCAAGAAGCACAAAATGACAAATGGTCAAGTTCCAACAGCTAAAAAGATCCAAGACATTATGAGCTTTTAATGAGTGAAACATGCCATGAGAAAGAGACCTTCTGTCAATAAATCCAAATCCTTGTTCACTAATTAAACCATCTTATACAGTGTCTGAATATGTAGACACCAGACTTCAACATTTCTTAATTATATTCAATTCCAGGCATATTTTTCCATTTAATTGACATTCTGAAATGCCTTTACAGTCCTATCAGATAGGTACCAAATTCTCAAGAGAGATTACCACACACTTCTGAATTC